>NC_000009.12:67422115-67588260 GCF_000001405.40 Homo sapiens | reverse complement strand
GGCTTGGTCAGGAAGACAATTAGTGTCTTCAGTTAAAACTATGATAATAGTGTTGTCACCAAAATGGTGGAATAGGGAGCCCTAGGCCTTGTTCCCCAATAGAGACAGCAACTTAACAACAATATATGGAACAAATTACCTTTTTTGGAACTCCAGAAACAACTTATGTTGCAGCACCCCAGGTAAATCCAAAGCCAAGAAGAGCTGTATTGAAGTGGATAAGAAAGTGTATTATATTTACTTGTGATACCCCCTTCAACTAGTGTGCACAGCACAGTATGCTCAAGAGAGAATTTGGAATATCAGAAACATAAAGTGGGAGGCAAGACGTAAAGAAGTAGAGTTTTTGCATGTGATTGAAGTTGTTACCAGTTTAAAATATATTGTTGAAACTTTAAGATGTTTTATGTGATCCCCATGGTAACCACAAAGAGAACAGCTTGTGAATGTACACAAAAGAAAATGTGATCCTTTCAGTAACCACAAAGAAAATAGCTAATGAAAATACACAAAAGAAAATGAAAAAGAAATCAAGGCATATACTACCAAAAAGAAAATCAATGAAACAAAAAGGAAGGATGCCAGAGAGAAAGAGGTACAAAATAGCTACAAGGCATACAAAAACACAATGAATAAAATGTCAATAGCAGTTCTTCCATATTAGTAATATCTTTCATGTAAATAGACTAGTTTCCCCAATAAAAAGACAGGTTGGCTGAATGGATTAAAAAATTCTACTATATGCTGTGTACAAGAGACTCACTTTAAATCTAAGGAGACATATAAGGTGAAAGTAAAAGAATAGAAAAGATACTCCCTGCAAATTGTAACAAAAAGAGAGTATACAAAAACAGAGTATAGGTGGCTACATCTATACCAGAAAAAAAAATAGTCATTAAGTAAAAAATATCACAAGGTACAAAGAACAATATATAATAACCTGGTCCATTTACCAGGAAAATATAATAATTATAAATATATACACACCTAACGTCAGTGTTCTCAAATATGTGAAGCAGACATTGACAGGATTCAAGGGAGAAATAAACAGCATACAATAATAGTAGGATTCAATACTCCACTTTCAATAATGGGTAGAACAGCCAGCAGAAGATCAATAATGGGACAGAGGACATGAATAACATCATAGACCAAATGGACCAAATACACATCCATACAACATTTCACCCAACAATGGCAGAATACACATTCTTCTCAAGCACAGTTGGAACATTCTGCGAGAAAGACCACATACTAGACCACTAAACAAGTCTTAACAGTTTTAAGCAGATTGAAATAATATCAAGTATTTTTCCCAGTACAATAGAATGAAACTAGAAATCAATAGCAGAAGAAAAACTGGAAAATTCATGAATATGCAGAATTTAATCAACACACTCTTAAATAACCAATGAATCAAAGAAGGAATCACAAGGAAAATTGCAAAATAATTTGTAAAAATGAAACAAAAATACAACACACTAAAACTTACAGAAGCAGCAAAAGCAATACTAAGAGAGAATTTTATAGTGGAATATGCCATAAAAAAAAGAAAGGCCTCTCGGCAGGGCGCGGTGTCTCATGCCTGTAATCCCAGCACTTTGGGAGGCTGAGGTGGGCGGATCACAAGTTCAGGAGATTGAGACCATCCTGGCTAACACGACGAAACCCCGTCTCTACTAAAAACACAAAATATTAGCCTGGCATGGTGGCAGGTGCCTGGAGTTCCAGCTACAGGAGGCTGAGGCAGGAGTATGGTGTGAACCCGGGAGGCAGAGCTTGCAGTGACCTGAGATGGCACCACTGCACTCCAGCCTGGGCAACAGAGTGAGACTCCGTCTCAAAAAAAAGAAAAGAAAGGTCTCAAATCAACAAGTTAATTTTATACACAAAGGAACCAGTAAAAGAGAACAAACTAAATCCAAAGTTAGCAGAAGGAAGAATATAAAGATTAGAGTAAGAATAAATGGAATAAAGAATAACTTTTATAAAAGTTAGATTTAAAAAATAACAACAAAATTGAAAATCCTTTAGCTAGATTAAGAAAAAGAGAGAATACTCAAATAACTAAAATCAGAAATGAATGCCTCATTCATTTTTTATCAGATATTATAACTGATGCCACAGAAATAGAAAGGATTATAAGGGACTACTAAGAACAATTATAAGCCAACGAGTTAGGCAAACTAGAAGAAATGGGTGAATTCGTGGTAAGATACAACCTACCAAGATGGAATCATGAAGAAATAAAGAAATCTGAACAGATGTGTAACTAGTAAGGAGAATAAATCAGTATTCAAAAATCTCCCAACAAAAAATGGACCAGACCCAAATGATTTCACTGGAGAATCTACCAAACATTTAAAGAAAAATTAATAATTATCCTTAACCTCTTCCAAAAAAATCGCAGAGAGAAAACACTTCTAAACTTATTTTATAAGGGCAACATTACCCTGATACCAAACCTAGACAAAGATACAAGAAAACTATAGATTATTACACCTGATGAATATTAATGAAAAATCCTCAACAAAATATTTGCAAACTGAATTTAACAGTACATTCAAAGAACTATATATTGTGACCAGGTTTTATTCCTCCTAATGCAAGGATAGTTCAATATATGAAAATCAGTGTAATACATTGCATTAACAGAATAAAAGACAAAAAGCACACAATCATCTTAATTGATTCAGAAAAAGCATGTGACAAAATTGAACACCCTTTCATGACAAAATTAAGAAACGAAGAGTAGAAAAAAATTACCTCAACATAATAAATGTTATGTGTGGGTTTGAATAAGTATGTATGTATATGTATAGATATACACATAAATGTTATATAAATATAATATGTGTGCACACATACAGGGCTAACACCATACTCAATGATGAAAACCTGAAAACTTTCCCTAAGATCAAGAACAAGGCGGGGCGGTTCCAAGATGGCCGAATAGGAACAGCTCCAGTCTAAGCTCCCAGCATAAGTGATGGAGAAGATGGGTGATTTCTGCATTTCCAACTGAGGTACTGGCTTCATCTCACTGGGGCTTGTCAGATAGTGGGGGCAGGACAGTGGGTGCAGCCCACTGAGCATGAGCTGAAGCAGGGCAAGGCGTCGCCTCACCTGGGAAGCACAAGGGGTCAGGGAATTCCCTTTCCTAGCCAAGGGAAGCAGTGACAGAAGGCACCTGGAAAATTGGGTCACTCCCACCCTAATACTGCACTTTTCCAATGGTCTTAGCAAACAGTACACCAGGAGATTATATCCCGTGCCTGGCTCGGAGGGTCCCATGCCCACGGAGCCTCACTTATTGCTAGCACAGCAGTCTGAGATTGAACTGCAAGGCGGCAGTGAGGCTGGGGAAGGGGCACCTGCCATTGCTGAGGCTTGAGTAGGTAAACAAAGTGGCCTGGAAGCTCGAACTGGGTGGAGCCCACCACAGCTCAAGGAGGCCTGCCTGCCTCTGTAGACTCCACCTCTGGGGACAGGGCATAGCTGAACAAAAGGCAGCAGAAACCTCTGCAGACTTAAATGTCCCTGTCTGACAGCTTTGAGGAGAGTAGTGGTTCTCCCAGCATGGAGTTTGAGATCTGAGAACAGACAGACTGCCTCCTCAAGTGGGTCCCTGACCCCTGAGTAGCCTAACTGGGAGGCACCATCCAGTAGGGGCAGACTGACACCTTACACGGCCAGGTACCACACTGAGATGAAGCTTCCAGAAGAGCGATCAGGCAGCAAGATTTGCTGTTCAGCAATATTCACTGTTCTGCAGCCTCCGCTGCTGATACCCAGGCAAACAGGGGCTGGAGTGGACCTCCAGCAAACTCCAACAGACCTGCAGCTGAGGGTCCTGCCTGTTAGAAGGAAAACTAACAAACAGAAAGGACATCCACACCAAAACCCCATCTGTACGTCACCATCATCAAAGACCAAAGGTAGATAAAACCACAAAGATGGGGAAAAAACAGGGCAGAAAAGCTGAAAATTCTAAAAATCAGAGTGCCTCTCCCCTTCCAAAGGAATGCAGCTCCTCTCCAGCAAAGGAACAAAGCTGGACAGACAATGACTTTGACAAGAGAAGAAAGCTTCAGATGATCAAACTTCTCCAAGCTAAAGGAGGAAGTTTGAACCCATCGCAAAGAAGCTAAAAACCTTGAAAAAAGATTAGACGAATGGCTGACTAGAATAACCAGTGTAGAGAAGACCTCAAAGGACCTGATGGACTGAAAACCGTGGCACAAGAACTACGTGACGAACACACAAGCTTCAGTAGCCGATTCGATCAGTGGTTGAAGATCAGATGAATGAAATGAAGTGAGAAGAGAAGTTTAGAGAAAAAAGAGTAAAAAGAAACGAACAAAGCCTCCAAGAAATATGGGACTATGTGAAAAGACCAAATCTACGTCTGATTGGTGTACCTGAAAGTGACGGGGAGAAATGGAACCAAGTTGGAAAACACTTGGCAGGATATTATCCAGGAGAACTTTCCCAAGCTAGCAAGGCAGGCCAACATTCAAATTCAGGAAATACAGAGAATGCCACAAAGATACTCCTTGAGAAGAGCAACTCCAAGACACATAACTGTCAGATTCATCAAAGTTGAAATGAAGGAAAAAATGTCAAGGGCAGCCAGAGAGAAAGGTCAGGTTACCCACAAAGGGAAGCCCATCAAACTAACAGAGGATCTCTCGGCAGAAACTCTACAAGCCAGAAGAGAGTGGGGGCCAATATTCAACATTCTTAAAGAAAAGAATTTTCAACCCAGAGTTTCATATCCAGCCAAACTAAGCTTCATAAGAGAAGGAGAAATAAAATCCTTTACAGACCAGCAAATTCTGAGAGATTTTTGTCACTACCAGGCCTGCCCTACAAGAGCTCTTGAAAGAAGCACTAAACATGGAAAGGAAAAACCGGTACAAGTCACTGCAAAAATATGCCAGATTGTAAAGGCCATCGATGCTAGGAAGAAACTGCATCAACTAATGAGCAAACTAACCAGCTAACATCATAATGACAGGATCAAATTCACACATAACAATATTAACGTTAAATGTAAATGGGCTAAACGCTCCAATTAAAAGACAAAGACTGGAAAATTGGATAAAGAGTCAAGACCCATCAGTGTGCTGTATTCAGGAGACCCATCTCACGTGCAGAGACACACATAGGCTCAAAATAAAGGGATGGAGGAAGATCTACCAAGAAAATGGAAAACAGAAAAAGGCAGGGATTGTGATCTTAGTCTCTGATAAAACAGACTTTAAACCAACAAAAATCAGAAGAGACAAAGAAGGCCATTACATAATGGTAAAGGGATCAATTCAACAAGAAGAGCTAACTATCCTAAATATATATGCACCCAATAAAAGAACACCCAGATTCATAAAGCAAGTCCTTAGAGACCTACAAAGAGACTTAGACTCCCATGCAATAATAATGGCAGACATTAATACCCCACTGTCAACATTAGACAGATCAATGAGACAAAAAGTTAACAAGGATATCCAGGAATTGAATGCAACTCTGCACCAAGCAGACTTAATAGACATCTACAGAACTCTCCACCCCAAATCAACAGAATATACATTCTTCTCAGCACCACATCACACTTATTCCAAAACTGACCACATAGTTGGAAGTAAAGCACTCCTCAGCAAATGTAAAAGAACAGAAATTATAACAAACTGTCTCTCAGACCACAGTGCAATCAAACTAGAACTCAGGATTAAGAAACTCAATCAAAACCACTCAACTACATGGAAACTGAAGAACCTGCTCCTGAATGACTACTGGCTACATAATGAAATGAAGGCAGAAATAAACATGTTCTTTGAAACCAGCGAGAACAAAGACACAACATACCAGAATCTCTGGGACACATTTAAAGCAGTGTGGAGAGGGAAATGTATAGCACTAAATGCTCATAAGAGAAAACAGAAAAGATCTAAAATTGACACCCTAACACCACAATTAAAAGAACTACAGAAGCAAGAGCAAACACATTCAAAAGCTAGCAGAAGGCAAGAAATAACTAAGATCAGAGCAGAACTGAAGGAAATAGAGACACAAAAAACCCTTCAAAAATCAATGAATCCAGGAGCTGGTTTTTCGAAATGATCCACAAAATTGATAGACTGCTAGCAAGACTAATAAAGAAGAAAAGAGAGAAGAATTAGATGCAATAAAAAATGATAAAGGGGATATCACCACTGATCCCACAGAAATACAAACTACCATCAGAGAATACTATAAACACCTCTATGCAAATAAACTAGAAAATCTAGAAGAAATGGATAAATTCCTGGACACATACACCCTCCCAAGACTAAACCAGGAAGAAGTTGAATCCCTGAATAGACCAATAACAGGCTCTGAAATTGAGGCAATAATTAATAGCCTACCAACCAAAAGATGTCCAGGACCAGATGGATTCACAGCCGAATTCTACCAGAGGTACAAGGAGGAGCTGGTACCATTCCTTCTGAAACTATTCCAATCAACAGAAAAAGAGGGAATCCTTCCTAACTCATTTTATGGGGCCAGTATCATCCTGATACCAAAGCCTGGCAGAGACACAACAACAACAAAAAAGAGCATTTTAGACCAATATCCCTGATGAACATTGATGCAAAAATCTTCAATAAAATACTGGCAAACTGAACCCAGCAGCACATCAAAAAGCTTATCCACCATGATCAAGTGGGCTTCATCCCTGGGATGCAAGGCTAGTTCAACATACACAAATTAATAAACGTAATCCAGCATATAAACAGAACCAAAGACAAAAAACCACATGATTATCTCAATAGATGCAGAAACGGCCTTCGACAAAATTCAACAGCCCTTCATGCTAAAAACTCTCAATAAATTAGGTATTGATGGGATGTATCTCAAAATAGTAAGAGCTATCTATGACAAACCCACAGCCAATATCATACTGAATGGGCAAAAACTGGAAGCATTCCCTTTGAAAACTGGCACAAGACAGGGATGCCCTCTCTCACTGCTCCTATTCAACACAGTGCTGGAAGTTCTGGCCAGGGCAATAAGGCAGGAGAAAGAAATAAAGGGTATCCAATTAGGAAAAGAGGAAGTCAAATTGTCCCTGTTTGCAGATGACATGATTGTATATTTATAAAACCCCATCATCTCAGCCAAAAATCTCCTTAAGCTGATAAGCAACTTCAGCAAAGTCTCAGGATACAAAATCAATGAGCAAAAATCACAAGCATTCTTACATACCAATAACAGACAAACAGAGAGCCAAATCATGAGTGAACACCCATTCACAATTGCTTCCAAAGAGAATAAAATACTAGGAATCCAACTTACAAGGGATGTGAAGGACCTCTTCAAGGAGAATTACAACCCACTGCTCAACGAAATAAAAGAGGACACAAACAAATGGAAGAACATTCCATGCTCATGGATAGGAAGAATCAATATCATGAAAATGGCCATACTGCCCAAGGTAATTTATAGATTCAATGTCATCCCCATCAAGCTACCAATGACTTTCTTCACAGAATTCGAAAAAACTACTTTAAAGTTCATAGGAACCAAAAAAGGGCCCACATTGCCAAGACAATCCTAAGCCAAAAGAACAAAGCTGGAGGCATCACGCTACCTGACTTCAAACTATACTACAAGGCTATAGTAACCAAAACAGCATGGTACTGTTACCAAAACAGAGATACAGACCAATGGAACAGAACAGAGCCCTCAGAAATAATACCACACATCTACAACCATCTGATCTTTGACAAACCTGACAAAAACAAGAAATGGGGAAAGGATTCCCTATTTAACAAATGGTGCTGGGAAAACTGGCTAGCCATATGTAGAAAGCTGAAACTGTGTCCCTTCCTTACACCTTATACAAAAATTAATTCAAGATGGATTAAAGACTTAAATGTTGGACCTAAAAACATAAAAACCCTAGAAGAAAACCTAGGCAATACCATTCAGGACATAGGCATGGTCAAGGACTTCATGTCTAAAACACCAAAAGCAATGGCAACAAAAGCCAAAATTGACAAATAGGATCTAATTAAACTAAAGAGCTTGGGCACAGCAAAAGAAACTACCATCAGAGTGAACAGGCAACCTACAGAATGGGAGAAAATTTTTGCAATCTACTCATCTGACAAAGGGCTAATATCCAGAATCTACAAAGAACTCAAACAAATTTACAAGAAAAAAACAAACAACCCCATCAAAAAGTGGGCAAAGGATATGAACAGACACTTCTCAAAAGAAGACATTTATGCAGCCAACAGACACATGAAAAAATGCTCATCATCACTGGCCATCAGAGAAATGCAAATCAAAACCACAATGAGATACCATCGCACACCAGTTACAATGGCGATCATTAAAAAGTCAGGAAACAACAGGTGCTTGAGAGGATGTGGAGAAATAGGAATGCTTTTACACTGTTGGTGGGACTGTAAACTAGATCAACCATTGTGGAAGACAGTGTGGCAATTCCTCAAGGATCTATAACTAGAAATACCATTTGACCCAGCCATCCCATTACTGGGTATATACCCAAAGGATTATAAATCACACTCCTATAAAGACACATGCACATGTATGTTTATTGCAGCACTATTCACAATGGCAAAGACTTGGAACCAACCAAAATGTCAATCAATGATAGACTGGATTAAGAAAATGTGGCACATATACACCATGGAATACTATGCAGCCATAAAAAAGGATGAGTTCATGTCCTTTGTAGGGACATGGATGAAGCTGGAAACCATCATTCTGAGCAAACTATCGCAAGGATAAAAAACCAAACACTGCATGTTCTCACTCATAGGTGGGAATTGAACAATCAGAACACTTGGACACAGGAAGGGGAACATCACACACTGGGGCCTGTTGTTGGGTGGGGGGAGGGATAGCATTAGGAGATATACCTGATGTAAATGATGAGTTAATGGGTGCAGCACACCAACATGGCACATGTATACATATGTATCAAATTTGCACATTGTGCACATGTACTCTAGAACTTAAAAGTATAATAATAATAAAAAAAAAAGAAAAAGAACAAGGCAAGAATGTCCATACTGACCACTTCTTTTTTTTTTTTTTTTGAGACGGAGTCTCGCTCTGTTCCCCAGGCTGGGGTGCAGGGGCACGATCTCGGCTCACTGCAAGCTCCGCCTCCTGGGTTCAGCCATTCTTCTGCCTCAGCCTCCTGAGTAGCTGGGACTACAGGCGCTCGCCACCATGCCCGGCTAATTTTTTTTTTTTTTTGTATTTTTTTAGTAGAGACGGGGTTTCACCGTGTTAACCAGGATGGTCTCGATCTCCTGACCTCGTGATCCGCCTGCCTTGGCCTCCCAAAGTGCTGGGATTACAGGCGTGAACCACCACGCCTGGCCCATACTGACCACTTCTATTCAACATAGTAGTGACAGTCTTAGCCTGGGAAATTAGATATGAGAAAGAAATAACAGCTATCCAAAATGGAAAGCAAGAAGTAAAATGATCTCTGTTTACAGATGACATAATCTTATTGTAGAAAGCACTAAAAACTGTTAGAACTAATAAATTCAACAAAATTTTATAATCCAAAGTGAACAAAAAGTAATTGCATATTTATACACTAACAGTCAGTAATCCAAAAACGCATTTAAGAAAACAATCCCATCAGGAACTTATAAAAGCATAAACAATAGTAACAAGAAGAATAAGATACTTTGGAATAAACTTAACCAAGGATGGGAAAACCTTGCACACTGAAAACTACGAAACAGGCTGGGTGCAGTGGCTCACACCTGTAATCCCAGCACTTTGGGAGGCCAAGGTGGGTGGATTGCTTGAGTCCAGGAGTTCAAGACCAAGTTGGGCAACATGGCGAAACCCCCTCTCTACTAAAAATACAAAAAATAGCCAGGCATGGTGGCACATGCCTGTAGTCCCAGTTACTTGGGAGGCTGAGGTGGGAGAATCACCTGAGCTCAGGAGGTCGAGGCTGCAGTGAGCCGAGATCATGCCACTGCACTCCAGCCTGGGCAAACAGAGTGAGACCCTGTCTCAACAAAACAAAACAAAACACAGCAAAACACAAAAAACCTACAAGACATTGCTGAAAGAAATTAAAGAGACATAAATAAATAGAAAGACATCCTGTACTCATGAATTGAAAGACTTAGTGTTAAGATATCCATGTACCCAAAGTGATTTACTGATTCAATGCAATTCTTAACAAAATGCAAATGACTTTTTTGCAGAAATGGAATAAAACCATTCTATAATTTACATAGAATCTCAAGGGACCCTGCATAGCCAAAACAATCTTAAAAAAGAAGAATGAAGTTAGAGTGCTCACACTTTTGATTTTAAGAATATTTTGAAGCTACAGTAATTAAAGACAGTGTAACACTGGCATAAAGACACATATACAGACCAATGAAACAGAACAGGAAGTTCAGAATTAAACTCTCACATACATGATCTTCAACAAGGGTACCAAGACAAAACAATGGGGAAAGGACAGTCTCTTCAATAATTGGTGTTGTAAACACTAGATATCCACATGCAAAAGAATGAAGTTGAAACTTAACCTTACATCATATATAAAAATTAACTTAAAATTGATTAAAGACCTAGACATGAGACCTACAACTGTAAAATGACTAGGAGAAAAGTGTAAGAAAAGCTTCATGACACTGAATTTGGTAATGATTTCTTGAATATGATACCAAAAGAATAGGAAACAAAAGAAAAAGGTAGACAAATAGGACTACATCAAACTTAAAAATTTTTGCACATCAAAGAAACAGTGACAAAGCAACCTGTGAAATGAGAGAAAATATTTGCAAATTATATCTAAAAGGGGTTAATATCCAGAATACTTGTCTATAGAGAACCACTACAAGTCAACAACAAAAGACAATCTGTTAAAAAAATGGGCCAAGAACTTGAATAGACATTCCTCCCAAGAAGAAGTATAAACATTAAAAAAATGTTCAGTGCCTTTAATCAAATTAAAACTACAATGAGCGATCGCCTACCCATCAGGATGGTCACTACAAAAAAAGACCAAGCAAAACATATTGGAAGGATGAGAAGAAACTGGAACCCTTTTACACTGTTGGTAGGAATGAAAAAATGGTGCAGCTGCTATGGAAAAATGATCTGAGGTTCCCCAAATAATTAAAAATAGAACTACTATATGATCCAGGAATCTCACTTCTGGGTATGTATGCAAAAGAACTAAAATAATTATGTCAAAGAGTTATCTGCATACCCATGTTAATTGCAGCATTATTCACAAAAGTCAAGAGTTGGAAGCAACCCAAATGTCTATTAAAAGATGAATAAAGAAAATGTGGAATATACATACAATGGAATACTATTTGACCTTAACAAAGAAGAAAATTCTGTCACATGCTACAACATGAATGAACCTTGAGGATATTGTACTAAGTGAAATAAGCCAATCACAAAAAGACAAGTATTGTATGATTACATTTATAGGAGGTTTCAAAAATAGACAAACTCATAGAAACAGAAACTACAATGGTGATTGCCAGAGACTGGGGACATGGAGAAATGGGGAGACGTTGTTTAACTGGTTTAGTTTCAGGTTTGCAAGATTAAAAAGTTCTGGAGATTTGTTACACAACACTGTGCATACAGTGAACGCTACTGAACTGTGCACTTAAAAAGTGGTTGAAATGGTAAATTTCTTATGTGTTTTAAAATATATATGTATTTTTTAATTTTTAATTTTTTTTTAATTTTTTTGAGACAGAGTCTCACTCTGTTGCCTGGGCTGGAGTGCAGTGGCGTGATCTCGGCTCACTGCAAGCTCTGCCTCCTGGGTTCACGCCATTCTCCTGCCTCAGCCTCCTGAGCAGCTGGGACTACAGGTGCCCGCCACCAGGCCCAGCTAATTTTTTGTAGTTTTTAGTAGAGA
Organism: Homo sapiens; assembly: GCF_000001405.40. Lineage (NCBI taxonomy): Eukaryota > Metazoa > Chordata > Mammalia > Primates > Hominidae > Homo > Homo sapiens. The sequence continues at coordinate 67,576,316 of NC_000009.12, read as the reverse complement.
TGGGGTTTTTCACCGTGTTAGCCAGGCTGGTCTCGAACTCCCGACCTCAGGTGATCCGCCCACCTCGGCCTCCCAAAGTGCTGGGATTACCGCGTGAGCCACCACGCCTGGCCTGTATGTGTTTTTAAAATCACAATGAGAAATTAAAAAATAAAATGAAAATAAGAAATGCTTAGCATATAAGAAAGTGAAGCATCGAAGCCCACGAAGATACAGCGAGTTTGCTTACTCCCAGCTTGTCTGGCACTGTCCAGATCTTACTGCCGATAGCCCTGCACCCTGAGTATAACCTCAGTCCCAGGCACACCAGGTGTTCGGATATTCTATATGAAAACCAGAGCATTTAAAGAAATGGTGTAAACAGAATAAAGGTATTTTGTTGAAAGTAAAGTATAATGCTATCCTTACTTGGTAATCCCATTGCCTTTAAAGTGAAGCATATTACTGGGATGTAAACCTGTATTTTTCTCTCTTGGCTCTTTAACAGATTCTCCAGATCTGTCTTATTTATATTTCCTTCAAAATACTTCTGTGATTTCTATCTTTTCTTGTTTCCAAGCCACACTTCAGCTTCATTCCTTATGCACAGGAGAGCCTGTTCTTGGTTTCTTTTCTTCCAGGTTCTGATTTTTAATCTGCCCAAATTGTAACTGGGACATTTATTGACAAAAAGAAATTTGAACATGTAACAGCCTTTTTTTTCCTTCTAATTTTTAAGTGGTTTCTAATTAGGTAATTTCCTGAAGGTTAAAGTTCTTAAAGTCTCTGATTTATTAGTTCATCATTCTTAATTTTTTCAGTTTTCTATCATTGTCTAGTAGAGTATGTCCAGTTGATAGGATATCTGAGGACATATTATCTCTCCATCAATTTATTTCTGTATTACACACACTTTCTCTCCATTCTCTTCTTCAGACCTTCTGCACCACCTCCCCTCAACAGTTGTAACAAATAAAAATGTCTCCAGACATTGCTGAATGTCCCGAGGCGGCAAAATTTCCTCTGGTTGAGCACAGCTGATAGAAATAATGCCCAAATTTCAAGATTTTTTCCAAAGTGGTCTTCATATTCAATTCCCAAACGTGTACTTAACATTGTTCTTTCTGAAAAGAGTACTTTCCCCATTTTCTCTACCTGGAGAGAACTCCAGGAAGCTGAGACCGGCCAGACCACAGAGCTTGACCCAGGTTCCACACATTTTTCATGTGCAAATTGGAAAGCACGATGAGATATCTCTCTTGCCTGTCATTATGATTTTTTTTTAAGTGAAAAATAGGCTGGGCGCCGTGGCTCACACCTGTAATCCCAGCACTTTGGGAGGCCGAGGCGGGCGGATCACGAGATAAGGAGATGAGACCATCCTGGCTAACACGGTGAAACCCCGTCTCTACTACAAAATACAAAAAATTAGCCAGGCGTGGTGGCGGCCGCCTGTAGTCCCAGCTACTCGGGAGGCTGAGGTAGGAGAATGGCGTGAACCCGGGAGGCGGAGCTTGCAGTGAGCCGAGATCGCGCCACTGCACTACAGCCTGGGCGGCAGAGCCAGACTCCATCTCAAGAAAAAAAAAAAAGTGAAAAATAAAAATCCTGGTTTCTGGGGAATCAATCACTCATATAGTGCTGTCGTTAACATAAATATCCAAATCTTCACAGAGGAACAGAGGACAATATGACAATAAGCACTACATTTTCAAGTGTCTTTTATACCCATTGAAAATTTGGTAGAAATTAGATATCTAGGAATTTCCCCTAACAGAGTAAATATACAGACCGTGTGCGGTGGCTCACGCCTGTAATCCCAGCACTTTGGGAGACCAAGGCGGGTAGGTCACGAGGTCAGGAGATCAAGACCATCCTGGCTAACATGGTGAAACCCCGTCTCTACTAAAAATACAAAAACAAAATTAGACGGGCGTGGTGGTGGGCGCCTGTAGTCCCAGCTACTCAGGAGGCTGAGGCAGGAGAATGGCGTGAACTCGGGAGGCAGAGCTTGCAGTGAGCCGAGATCGCGCCATTGCACTCCAGCCTGGGCGACAGAGCAAGACTACGACTCAAAAAAAAAAAAAAAAAAAAAGTAAATATACAGAAATACCTGGCTATAAAACTGTCACAGCTTATTTATAATAACCTCAAACTGGAAGCAATCTAAATGTCCATCAAAAGGGGACTAGAATAATACTCAACCCTAAACAACATATTGTGGAATATTTAATGACATGGAATGACTTCTATTTTAAGAACAAAACAGGCGGGGCGCAGTGGCTCAAGCCTATAATCCCAGCACTTTGGGAGGCCGAAGCGGGCGGATCACCAGGTCAGGAGATCGAGACCATCCTGGCTAACACGGTGAAACCCCGTCTCTACTAAAAATACAAAAAATTAGCTGGGCGTGGTGGCCGACGCCTGTAATCCCAGCTACTCGGGAGGCTGAGGCAGGAGAATGGCGTGAACCCAGGAGGCGGAGCTTGCAGTGAGCCGAGATCGCGCCACTGCACTCCAGCCTGGGCGACAGAGCAAGACTACGTCTCAAAAAAAAAAAAAAAAGAAACAAAAGATGTCAAGTCCTTAGTCATTATAAAAATGATGCTTAATCATTTTCTTGGATTTTGCAGATGAATTGGTGAATAGCTTTGTGACAGACCTTTGTTCAAGATCCATTCAAGGATAGAAGACAATTGCATTGAATGGTTGAATAGGGAGATTTCTCAGGAGAATGTTGCTGGGTGCGGTTGAATATTTACTCTCCCACATCCTTGCCTGGCAGGAGGGCCTGTAAGGAGGCTATTCTATGAGCTTGTATCATCTCCCTGGATTCTAGGAGCAAATTAAGAAGCAAATGTTGGACCTCTGCCTGTGAAAACCACAGGTCCAAGACACTGAGAGGAACCAGGAACCACGGTAAGAAGAGAGGAAAGTGGTGTGAGTGCCTACACTTTCATCATTTGCATGACAAGGGGGTCCCATGAGTCAAGTACAGTCTAGGAGGTAATTGAGGTGGAGCTGTGCAGAAGGGACCCTGACCAAGAGTTGAGGGGCACCAGCGGAGAGGCTGTGGGTTGCACCTCCAGGGGCGGATGCTGGAAGTGGTGCCTGAAAGGAGTCAGCAGGAAGAGCCACATTGCTTGTATCTTGAGACATAACTGGGTGTGCAAAATGGGAAATCACTGTGGATCTCTCAGTAGGAATCTTTCAGGGATAGAGCCGGTTGTGAACATTCTGTAACATCAGATTAAATAGGGCCTTTTCTGTTCTTCATCTCTCTTTCATGCCTTTCTTCCCCCAGATAGACATACTCAGTGAGCTCTCTTCCCAGTTTGAAGCAGGTCTGAGGTGGAGAAGTAGAGAAAATCAAAGTTTTGACTATTGCATGGAAGTGGACATCCTAATTATTGAAATAATACTGTTGTGGCCAGGGCTGATGTTTAGCTGAGATGTACTGGTGTGGTTGCACTGGTTATTAAAATATTAAAATACTTTAATATTGGTTGGTAAACAGTCCTGATCCTAGGCCCCTTGAGGGCCTCCCCTGGGCCCTGGAAACCCTGTGGGCACTGCTATTCCTCCTTCCCACCCCCTCCACACACTTCCTATCCCTGAGACCAGTGTCCCCGGCGGTGAGGCTGATGCTCCAGTGGGCTGTACCCAATGTCTCTGGTTTTGCAGCCGGGCTTCCTGGGATTGTCCTCATGTGATCCTTATGGGAACAGCAACTTCCTCAATTGTCACCTCTTTTAAATGTCACCCAAGATCAGTTATGAACTGGCTCAAGTTTTATGCAAAAGAGTCTCCCAAAATCGACCTCAAAAGCACTTTTGTTAGGACATTTTTGAGAAAAAAATATATGATGCTTTATGATTTTATTCTACTTTTTCAATGTCACATTTACAAATGTTTATAATTAAGTTAAAAGGGTGAGGCAGAAAACCAGGCAACTCTGTACTGATTTTTGTAATATAATCTGTCTCAAAATATACCATTAGAAGTTTAAATATTTAAATAGTTATAACCATTTCTAGGGGATGGTAACATGGCTAACTTTTAGACTTTTATTTATTAGTTTTTTTTTTTAGACGGAATCTCGCTCTGTTGCCCAGGCTGGAGTGCAGTGGTGTGACCTCAGCTCACTGCAAGCTCTGCCTCCCAGGCTTATGCCATTCTCCTGCCTCAGCCTCCCAAGTAGTTGGGACTACAGGTGCCTGCCACCACACCCATCTAATTTTGTTTTTGTATTTTTAGTAGAGACGGGGTTTCACTGTGTTAGCCAGGATGGTATCGATATCCTGACCTTGTGATCCACCCGCCTCGGCCTCCCAAAGTGCTGGGATTACAGGCGTGAGCCACCACGCCTGGCCCTGGCCAGTATTTCTTAAGTTTCATTAAAAAAAAAAATACATATATATATATAGTACTCTTTTGACTATTACTATTTTGAATGAGAGGAATAAAATAATACATGCAACTAAATGGGATTTTGTATTTTTCCTTCACATACATTGACCTACGTTTAAAATGTAAGCCTCTCACCCTCCTGACAACTCCATATCCCCACCCCCTGCTCTATGTGGTCAGAGTTGGTGCATCCCAATGCCTTGAATAGGGTCTGACACATTTGCTGTTGGAATCACTTGAATCATTTCACTTAGCAGGAACATAGTAAAGTATAAATGATGCTGAGGTATATCTCCCCAAGGAGGAGGACACAGAACAGGTTCTCTGTGGGGACAGGAGGAGGGACTGGCCCTGTGTACCCACTGCCTCCCCACGGCTTCCTCAACTTTTGCTTGATTTTTCCTCGATCAGGAACATGACATCACATTCATCCAGACCTTGAACCTATCTTATTAGGTTTATTCCTAGGTATTTTCTTGTTTTTCTGACATGCAAATATAATCTTTTTCCTTATTTCAATTTTCTGGTTGATTATTTCCATCATAAAGGAAAGTTGCTCTGTAAAATTTACCTGTTTCTAGCCATGCGATAAAATTTTCTTATTAGTTTCAATGGTGACTGTATACACACACACACACACACACACACACACACATACTTTAAGTTCTGAATACATATGCAGAACGTGCAGGTTTGTTACATAGGTGTACACGTGCTATGGTGGTTTGCTGCACCCTTCACCCCATCATCAACATTAGGTATTTCTCCTAATGCTATCCTTCCCCTAGCCCCCCACCCCGACCCCCACCGACAGGCCCTAGTGTGTGATGTTGCCCTCCCTGTGTCCATGTGTTCTCATTGTTCAACTCCCACTTAATGACTGAGAACATGGGGTGTTTCATTTTCTGTTCCTGGGTAAGTTTGCTGAGAATGATGGTTTCTAGCTTCATCCATGTCCCTGAAAAGGATGTGAACTCATCCTTTTTTATGACTGCATAGTATTCCATGGTGTATATGTACCACATTTTCTTTATCCAGTCTGTCACTGATGGGCATTTGGGTTGGTTCCAAGTCTTTGCTATTGTGAACAGTGCTGCAATAAACATACATTTCCATGTGTCTTTATAGTAGAATGATTTATAATCCTTTGGGTATATACCCAGTAATGGTATCGCTGGGTCAAATGGTATTTCTGGTTCTAGATCCTTGAGGAATCGCTACACTGTCTTCCACAATGGTTGAACTAATTCACACTTCTACCCACAGTGTAAAAGCATCCCTATTTCTCCACATCCTCTCCAGCATCTGTGGTTTCCTGACTTTTTAATGATTGCCATTCTAGCTGGCAATCTCTTTGTGGTTTTGGTATCTCATTGTGGTTTTGATTTGCATTTCTCTAATGACCAGTGATGATGAGCTTTTTTTCATATGTTTTTTGGCCACATAAATGTCTTCTTTTGAGAAGTGTCTGTTCATATCCTTTGCCCACTTTTTGATGGATGGGGTTTTTTATTTTTACTTGTAAATTTCTTTAAGTTCCTTATAGATTCTGGATATTAGCCCTTTGTCAGAAGGATAGATTGCAAAAATTTTCTCCCATTCTGTAGGTTGCCTGTTCAGTCTGATGACAGTTTCCTTTGCTATGCAGAAGCTCTTTAGTTTAATTAAATCTCATTTGTCAATTTTGGCTTTTGTTGCCATTGCTTTTGGTGTTTTTAGTCATGAAGTCTTTGCTCATGCCTATGTTGTGAATGGTATTGCCTAGGTTTTCTTCTAGGGTTTTTAGGGTTTTTATGGTTTTAGGTCTAACATTTAAGTCTTTAATCCATCTTGAGTTAATTTTTGTATAAGGTGTAAGGAAGGGATCCAGTTTCAGTTTTCTGCATATGGCTAGCCAGTTTTCCCAACACCATTTATTAAATAGGGAATCCTTTCCCCATTGCTTGTTTTTGTCAGGTTTGTCAAAAATCAGATGGTTGTAGATGTGTGTCATTATTTCTGAGGCTTCTGTTCTGTTCCATTGGTCTATATATCTGTTTTGGTACCAGTAAATGGTTACTTTTTTTAAAAAGCAAACTCTTTCGAATTTTATATGTTTATAATACAGCAAATAATTTTGTCTTGCTTTTAGAAAAAAATTGAGGTAAAATTCACGTAACATAAAGTTAACCATTTTACAGTGAACAATTCGGTAACACTGAGCATATTTACAATGTTATAGAAGTACCACCTCTGTTTAGTTTCAAAATATTTTCATCACTGCAAAATAAAACCATGTAAGCAGTCAAATCCCACCTGTCCTCTCCTCCTGTCTCTGTCAACCACCGATCTGTTCTATGGGTTTACCTATCCTGGATATTTCATATAAATGAAATTATACAATAACCCTGTATAATTTTTTGTGGGCCTGACTTCTTTCATTTAGCATAATGTTTTTGAGGTTCATTCATGTTATAGCATTTATCAGTACTCCACTTCTTTTTATGGCTGCATAATATTCCACTATATGTGTATATCATAATTTGTTTATACATTCCTCTGTTGACGGACATCTGGGTTGTTTCCAACTTTTGGCTGTTTTGAATAGAGCTCTTTCGAACATGTATGTACATGTATTTGTTTGAGAACTCGTTTTCATTTCTTTGGGGTATATACCTAGGAGTGAAATTGCTGAGTCATATAGTAATTCTATGTTCAACTTTTTGACCACTGCCAAACTGTTTTCCGCAAACATCATCATCACTAGCCATGTATGATTTACTCCACATCTTCACCAACACTTGGTGTTTAATATTTTTTTTTAATTATAGCCATCCTGGTAGTGAAGTGGTATCTCATCGTGGTTTTGATTTGTATTTCTCTAATAACTAATAATATTGAACATCTTTTCATGTGCTTGTTGGCCATTTGTAGATCTTCTTTGGAGAAATACCTATATAAACTCTTTGACCATTTCATTTTAATTGAGTTGTTTGTCTTTCTATTGTTGAGTAGTTAAAGTTCTTTATATAGACACATCATTTAGAGATTTGCAATTTTTTTCTCCCATTCTGTAGGCTATTTTTAAACTTTCCTAATAATATCATTTGGTGTACAAAAGTTTTAAATTTTGATGGAGCCCAATTTATATATTTCTTAATTTGTTGTTGATGCTTTTGGGGTCATGTCTAAGAACATGTATGTACCTAATCTGTATCTGAGAACCTAATCTCAGATTCAAGATCAGGAAGATTTAACCATAGGTTTTCTTCTAAGAGTTTTGTAGATTTAGCTCTTGCATTTAGGTCTTTGATACATTTTGAGTTAGTTTTTCTATATGGTATGAAATAAGGGTTCAACTTCATTCTTTTGCACGTGGCTATTTGGTTGTCTAAGCACTATTTGTTGAAGAGACTATTCTTTCCCCATTGAATGGTCTTTGCACCCCGTCAAAAATTAATCACCACAAATGAATGGGCTTATTTCTGGAATCACAATTCTATTTTTCTCATCTATATGTTTATCCATAAGGATAAACAGTGCCACACTGTTTTGATTATTGTTAACTTTGTAATAAGTTTTGAAATTAGAAAGTGTGAGTTCTCCAACTTTACTCTTCTTTTTCAATAATACTGTCTTAGCTGTTCGAGATCTTTTGCAATTCCTTACATATTTGATAATTAGCTTTTCAATTTCTGCAAAAAGGCTATTCAAATTTTGACATAGATTGTATTGAAACTAGATCTGTTTAAGTATTGCCATTGTGGCAATATCAAGTCTTCCAATCCATGAACACAAGGCATATTTCCATTTATTTAGGTATTCTTTAATTTCTTTTAGCAATGGTTTGTAGTTTTCATTGTGTAATACTTTCACTTCCTTGATAACATTTAATTTGAGGTTTTTTAAATCATTTTTATGCTATTATAAATGGAATTGTCTTAATTTAGTTTTTAAATTATTCACTGCGCCTTTCTAAGAACACATGTGATTTTTGTGTTCAGCTGTACCTTTGCTGAATTTGTTTATTAGCTGTAGTAGTGGATTCTTTGGGATTTTCTATATCTAGGTTTATCAGTGAATAGAGATCTTTCGATGCTTCTTATTTATTTTTCATTTCTGATTTCTCTGGCTAGAACTTCCAGTACAATGTTAAATGAAAGTGGTAAAAGGGGTCCTCCTTGTTTTGTTCCTGACCTTAGGGGAAAGTTTTAGTCTTTAACCAGTGAATATGATTTTGACTATGGGTTTTTCATAAATGCCCTTATTTTATGTTAAGGAATTCCCCTTCAATTTCTAATTTTATACGAGGATTTTTTTTTTCTTTTGAGACGAAGTCTAGCTTTGTCGCCCAGGTTGGAGTACAGTGGCTCGATCTTGGCTTACTGCAACCTCCGCATCTCGGGTTCAAGTGATTCTTCTGCCTCAGCCTCCTGAGTAGCTGGGACTACAGGCACCTGCCACCAAGCCCAGCTCATTTTTTTTTTTTTTTTTTTTTTTTAGTACAGACGAGGTTTCACCATGTTGACCAGCCTGGTCTCAAACTCCTGACCTCATGATCCACCCACCTCAGGCTCCCAAAGTGCTGGGATTACAGATGTGAGCCACCATGCCCGGCTTGAGGATTTTTATCATGAAAGTGTGGCAGATTTTGTTGAATGCATTTTCTGCAGTTGAGATGATCCTGAATTTCTCCTCGCCCCCACACACCTTTATCCTATTAATGTCATATAATACATTGGGTTTCTAATGTTGGACCATCCTTGCTTTCCTGGGCTGAATTCCACTTAGATATGGTATAAAATCCTTTTAATATGCTGTTGGATTTTATTTGCTAGCATTTTGTTGTGGATTTTTGTATCTTTATTCATAAGGGATATTGGTCTGTAGCTTTCTTTTCTTGGAATATCTTTCCCTGGTTTTCATATCAGGGTAATGCTGTCCTTATAGAATAAGTTAGAAAGTGTTCCCTCCTTTTCAATTTTTTGGAAGAGCTTGAGAAGGATAGATATTAATTGTTTTTTAATTTGTATTTTTATTTCAATAGTTTTGGAGGTACGGGTAGTTTTTGCTTACATGGATAAGTTCTTTAGTGGTAATTTCTGAGATTTTGGTGTACCTGTCACCTGAGCAGTGTACACTGTACCCAACATGTAGTCTTTTATCACTTATGCCTCTCCCACTCTTCCCCTGAGTCCCCAAAGTCCATTATATCATTCTTATGTATTTGCATCCTCATATCTTAGCTCCCACTTAAAAGGGAGAACATATGATATTTGGTTTTCCATTCTTGAGTTACTTCACTTAAAATAATGGCCCCCAACTCCACCCAAGTTGCTGCAAAAGACATTATTTTATTTCTTTTTATGTCTGAGTTGTATTCCATGGTGTATATATACTACATTTTCTTTATTCACTCATTGGTTGATGGGCACTTAGGTTGATTCCATATCTTTGCAACTGCAAATTGTGCTGCTATCAACATGCATGTGTGTGCATGTATCTTTTTTCATATAGTGACTTATTTCCCTTTGGGTACTTACCCAATAGCAGGATTGCTGGATCGAATGGTAGTTCTACTTTTGATCCTTTAAAACTGTTTTCCGGCCTGGCGCAGTGGCTCACGCCTGTAATCCCAGCACTTTGGGAGGCCTAGGCAGGCAGATCACGAGGTCAGGAGATCAAGACCATCATGGCTAACACGGTGAAACCCTGTCTCTACTAAAAAATACAAAAAATTAGCCGGGCATGGTGGCGGGTGCCTGTAGTCCCAGCTACTCGGGAGGCTGAGGCAGGAGAATGGCGTGAACCCTGGGAGGTGGAGCTTGCAGTGAGCCAACATGGTGCCACTGCAGTCTAGCCTGGGCAACAGAGCAAGACTCTGTCTCAAAAAATAAATAAATAAATAAAATAAAAAACCAAAAAAAAAATCTGTGTTTTCCGCAGTGGAAAACTAGTTTTTCCATACTGTTTTCCATAGTGGTTGTACTAGTTTACATTCCTACCAGCAGTGTAGATGTGTTACCTTTCCACCACATCCACGCCAACATCTATTGTATTTTGACTTTTTAATTATGGCCATTCTTGCAAGAGAAAGGTGATATCTCATTGTGGTTTTAATTTGTATTTCCCTGATAATTAGTGATGTTGAGCATTTTTTTCACTTTGTTGGATGTTTGTATATTTTCTTTTGACAATTGTCTATTCATGTCCTTTGCCCACTTTTTCATGGAACTATTATTATTTTTTACTGTTGATTTGTTTGAGTTCTTGTAGATTTTGGATATCAGTCCTTTGTCAAATGCATAATTTGCAAATACTTTCTCCCAATCTGTAGGTTGTCTGTTTACTCTGCTGATTATTTCTTTTACTTTGTAGAAGCTTTTTAGTTTAATTAGGTGTCATGTATTTATTTTTGTTTTTGTTGCATTGCTTTTGGGGTCATAGTCAAGAATTCTTTGCCTAAGCCAATGTCTAGAAGACTTTTTCTGATGTTATCTTCTAAAATTTTTATGGCTTCAGGTCTTAGATTTAAGTCTAAGTTTTCTTAGATTTAAGCTATTTTGAGTTGACTTTTGTATAAGTGAGAGATGAGGATTCAGTTTCATTCTTCTATGTGTGGCTTCCCAGTTTTCCCGGCACCACTTATTGAAGAGAGTGTCCTTTCCCCAATTTATGTTTTTGTTTGTGTTGTTGAAGATCAGTTGGCTGTAAGTATGTTGGCTTTATTTATGTGTTCTCTGTTCTATTCCATTGGTCTATGTGCCTACTTTTATACCAGTACCATGCTGTTTTGGTGACTTTAGCCTTGTAGTATAATTTGAAGTTGGGTAATGTGATGCCTCCAGATTTGTTCTTTTTGCTTAGTATTGCTTTGGCTATGCAGGTTCTTTTTTGGTTCCATATGAATTTCAGGATTGCTTTTTCTGGTTCTATAAAGAATGATGACGGTATTTTGTTGGGAATTGCATTGAATCTGTAGATTGCTTTGGACAGTATGGTCATTTTCACAATATTTATTCTACCCATCTGTGAGTGTGGGATGTGTTTCCATTTGTTTGTGTCATCTATGAATCTTTCAGTAGTGTTTTGTAGTTTTCCTTGTAGAGATCTTTCACCTCCTTGGTTAAATATATTTGTAAGTATTTTGTTTTACTTTTGCAGTTGTAAAAGGGATTGAATTCTTTTTTTTTTTTTTTTTTTTTTTTTTTGAGATGGAGTCTCATTCTGTCGCCCAGGCTGGAGTGCAATGGTGCAATCTTAGCTCACTGCAACCTCTGCCTCCCAGGTTCAAGTGATTCTCTTGCCTTAGCCTCCTGAGTAGGTGGGATTACAGGTGCCCACCAATGTGCCCGGCTAATTTTTGTATTTTTAGTAAAGAGTGGGTTTTTCCATGTTGGCCAGGCTGGTTTCGAACTCATGACCTTAGGTGATCTACCTGCCTCAGCCTCCCAAAGTGCTGAGGATTGCGGACATGAGCCACCATGCCTGGCTGAATTGAATTCTTAATTTGATTCTTAGCTTGGTCACTGTTGGTGTATAGCAGTGTTACTGATTTATGTACATTTATTTTGTATCCTGAGACTTTATTGAATTCATTTGTTAGGTCTAGGAGCTTTTCAGATGAGTCTTTAAGGTTTTCTAGGTATAGAATTATATCAGCAGTGAACAGCAACAGTTTGACTTCCTCTTTTCCAGTTTGGATGCCCTTTATTTCTTTCTCTTGTCTGATTGCTCTGGCCAGCACTTCCAGTACTGTGTTAAGTAGAAGCAGTAAAAGTGGGCATCCTTGTCTTGTTCCAGTTCTCAGGGGGAATGCTTTCAGCTTTTCCCTATTCAGTATGATGTTGCATATGGGTTTGTCATATATGGCTTTTATTACTTTAAGATATGTCCCTTCTATGCTTATTTTGAGGAAGGTTTTTATTATAAAGGAATGCTGGATTTATATATAATGATAAAAGGATTAGTCAAACAGGAAGATATTATGATCCTAAATTTATATGCACCTAGCACTGGAGCTTCCAAATTTATAAAACAATTACTACTAGACCTAAGAAATGAGATAAACAGCAGTACAAATATAGTGGGGGACTTCAATACTCCACTGACAGCACTAGACAGGTCATCAAGACAGAAAGTCAACAAAGAAATAATGGACTTAAACTATACCCTAGAAGAAATGTACTTAACAGAAAATTGCAAAACATTCTTCCCAACAACTGCAGGATATACATTTTTTTTCATCAGCACATGGAACGTTCTCCAAGATAACCTATGATAGGTTACAAAACAAGTCCCAACAAATTTAACGAAATTGAAATCATATCAAGTATTTTCTCAGACCATAGTGGAATAAAACTGGAAAGCAACTCCAGAAAGAACACTTAAAATGATATAAATACATGGAAATTACATAATCTGTTCTTGAATGATTTGGTGGTTAACAATGAAATCAAGATAGGAATTAAAAATTCTTTGAAATGAATGAGAACAATGGCACAACTTATCAAAACTTCTGGGATACAGCAAAACTGGTGCTAAGAGGAAAGTTTATAGCATTAAATGCCTACGTCAAAAAGTCTGAAAGAACACAAATAGAAAACCTAATGTCATACCTGAAGGAACTAGAGAAACAAGAACAAACTAAACTGAAACTCAGCAGAAGAAAAGAAATAACAAAGATGGAAGAGAACTAAATGAAATTGAAACAAAAAATACAAAAGATAAATGAAATGAAAAGCTGGTTCTTTGAAATGATAAACAAAGTTGATGACCATTAGGGAGATTAACCAAGAAGAGAAAAGATTCATATAACCTCAAGTAGAAATGAAACTGGAGATAGTACAACCAATACCACAGAAATACACAAGATCATTCAAGGATGTTATAAACACCTTTACATGCACAGACTAGAAAGTCTAGAGGAGATGAATAAACTCCTGGAAATATACAACCCTCCTAGACTAAATCAGGAAGAAATAGAAACCTTGAACAGACCAATAACAAGCAGCAAGATTGATCAGTGATTAAAAAAACAAAACAAAACACTGCCAACAAAAAAAGAATCGAGAACCAGATGGATTAACAGTTGAAATCTATCAGACATTCAAAGAAGAACTGGTTATCAATCCTACTGGAACTATTCCAAAAGATAGAGAAAGAGGGAATCCTCCATAAATCAGTCTATGAAGCCAGTATCACCCTAATACCAAAAGGAGGAGAGGACATAACAAAGCAAACAAACTACAAACCAATATCCCCGAACATAGATGCAAAAATCCCCAACAAAATACTAGCTAACTGAATCCAACAGCATATGAAAAAGATAATGCATCATGAACAAGTGGGTTTTATATCAGGGATGCAAGGATGGTTTAACATACACAAGTCAATAAATGTGATACATCACATAAACAAAATTAAAAACTATACGATTATATCAATAGGTGTGAATCCCTCTTTAAATGTTTGGTAGAGTTAATCAGAGAAGCTATCTGGTCCTGAACTTTTTTGTTGTTGGTGGTAAGTTTTAATTACTGATTGAATTACTTCACTTGTTATAGGTCTATTCAGATTTTCTATTCTCGAGTCAATTTTGATAGATTGTGTGTTTCTAGGAATTTGCTAATTTCATCTAGGTTATCTAACTTGTTGGCATAAAATAGTTTGTAATTTTTTTTTTTTTTTTTGAGACGGAGTCTTGCTCTGTCACCCAGGCTGGAGTGCAGTGGCGCAATCTCGGCTCACTGCAGCCTCTGCCTCCCAAGTTCAAGCGATTCTCCTGCCTCAGCCTCCCAAGTAACTGGGATTACAGGCACCTGCCACCACAACTGGCTAATTTTTGTACTTTCAGTAGAGGCGGGGTTTCACCATGTTGGCCAGGCTGGTCTCAAACTCCTGACCTCAGGTGATCTGCCCGCCTTGGCCTCCCAAAGTGCTGGGATTACAGGCGTGAGCCACCACACCTGGCCTGAGCAATGATTTGACTACATTCATAATTTGGGTATATCATGTTTTCATTTTCATTTGGCTCAAAATATTTTCTAATATCCCTTATAACTTTTTATTTGACCTATAGGCTGCTTAAAATTGTGTTAATTTCTACATATTTGTAAATTTTCTAGTTTTTCTTCTGTTATTGATTTTTAGTTTCATTCTGTATTTGTCAGAGAAGATAATTTACATAACTTTATCTTTTTACATTTATTGAAACTTGTTTTATGGCCTACCCTGACACATGATCCACGTGCTTTGTGTATTTTGCAATTGTTTGGTGGAGTATTTTCTTTTTTTTTTCTTTTTGAGACGTAGTCTTGCTCTGTCGCCCAGGCTGGAGTGCAGTGCCGCAGATCTCGGCTCACTGCAAGCTCCGCCTCCCGGGTTCACGCCATTCTCCTGCCTCAGACTCCAAAGTAGCTGGGACTACAGGTGCCCGCCACCACACCTGGCTAATTTTTTTCTTGTATTCTTTAGTAGAGACGGGGTTTCACCGTGTTAGCCAGGATGGTCTTGATGTCCTGACCTCGTGATCAGCCCGCCTCGGCCTCCCAAAGTGCTGGGATTACAGGCATGAGCCACCGCGCCTGGCCTCGGTGGAGTATTTTCTATATGTCTGTTAGGTCTTGTTGATTTACAGTGTTTTTCAAGTCCTCTATTTCTTTATTGATCTTCTGTCTAGATGTTCTATCTGTTATTGAAAGTGACTGTTTGAGTCCATTTAGTGTTGCTGTAACAGACTACCTGTGACTGGGTAATTTATAAAGAGAAGAGGTTTACTTGGCCCATGATTCTGGTGACTTGAAGGTTCAAGATTGAGCAGCTGCATCTAGTGAGGGCCTCCCTCATGCTGCTTCCACTCATGGCAGAAAGTGGATGGGGTGTGGGCGTGTGCAAAGAGATCACGTGGTGAAAAAGAAAGCAAGAGAGAGAGAGATACACCCACTGACCCAAACACCTCCCAGTGGGCTCCTCCGTTTAGCACTGTTACATGGAGGAACAAGTTTCCACATGAGCTTTGGCAAGGCCAGGCCACATTCAAGTGATATGGGGCATATAATTTGCCAAATGCAGTGGGGTATTGAAGTCTCCAACAATTATTGTAGTACTATCTACTTCTTCCTTCAAGTCTATCGATGTTTGTTTCATGTATTTTGGAGTTCTGATTTTTGGTATCTATACAGTTATAAGTATTTTATATTCTTGATAAATTTATGAGTTATCAATATATAATGACCTTAATTCATTTCTTGTAACAATTTTTGACTTTGTTTATTTTTGCTTTGCGTATCTACTATAAGTTTTTATTTTGTAGTTACCATTAGGCTTACATAAAACCTCTTATAACGGACTGTTTATATTTGGTAACAACTTAACTTTGATCACATAGAAAAAAGTCTCCACTTTTACTCCATCCCCTTGCCCCCAATTTATGCTTTGATGTCATAATTTATATTTTTAATTGTATATCCCTTAGCAAATTATTATAGCTATTATTTTTAATACATATTTATTTAATCTTCATACTAAAGACACAGATGATTTACTTACCATCACTGCAGTATTAGAATATTCTGAATTTGACTGTGTACTTACTTTTAGCAGTGAGTTTTATACTTTCTCATGTTTCCATGACACCAATGAGCATTCTTTTCTTTCTTTCAGCCTGAAGAGCTTCCTTTAGGATTTCTTGTGAGACAAGTCAGCTTTTATTTGTCTGGAAAAGTCTTTATCTCACTTTTATTTGTGAAGAACTGCTTTGGCAGGTACAGTATTCTTAGTTGGCATATTTTTTTCTTTGAGGCTTTGAATATATCATCTTGCTCTCTCCTGCCATGTAAGGTTTTTGCTAAGAAATATGCTGCTAGCCTTATTGGAACTCTCATATATGTGATTTATTTCTATTCTCTTGCTGCTTTTAGGATTCTCTCTTTGTCTTTGATTTTTGATAGTTTGATTATAATACATTTTGTTATAGTCTTGTTTGGATAGAATCTGATTGGAGACATTTGGTCCTTATACCTTGATATTATTCCCCAGGTTTAAGAATTTTTTAGTGATTATTTCTTTAAACAATGTTGTCCTAGGGGCTGGGTGTGTGGGTGTTGGCCTGGAGTCTAGGACCATTAGGGTTGACCTTTGTCTGGGGGCTCCAGGTGCTGGCCTGAAACCTGAGTCTACAGGGGTCATCTTGGAGCCTGGGTCCATGGGGGCTAATCCAGTGCTGGAGTCTGCCAGGAAGAAACTGGGCTGTGGGTCTGCTGTAATGTGTGGCTGCAGGGGAAAATATGAAGAGTGGGTCTGTGGGTGCCTGTTTGGAGATGAGAGCTGTAGCGGTTGGCCTGGTTCTTGGGTAGGTCTGAATCCTGGGACCATGGGGACCAGCCTGGTGCTGCAAGCAGTCCAGAGCCTTTGGCTGCCTGGCCCTGGGGTGGGCCTAGAGCCTGAGTCTGTGGGGGATAGCCTGGAGTTGGGGTTTGTCCAAAGTCTGGGGCTACTGATCAGCTACAGTCAGGCTACTACTCCAACTGTCCTTTCTATCTCTTTAGTGCATCCTTTCTGAAATCTCCTACCTGGTTTCCTTAGTTCTTGTGAAGGTGGTTTTATGCATGGATAGTTGTTCCAATTGATGTTTCTGCAGGGGAGCAAGAGCTAGAAAGTCCTATTCACCATCTTCCTTACAGCCTTCTGCCCCAAGGCTGCAGTACTCTTCAATCACATGTTTTATGTTACCTCTTTCTTTTCTCCAGCCATTTGGAAATAATTACCAAGAGCTACTTTTTTTGGCCAGGTATGCAATTTTTGTGAACCAATGCTGTTCTAACTGATTCTAACTCAAGAGGCGAGAAAAGCCCAGATGCCCCTAATTGGATCCATGGTTGTACTGTGCTGTATTTCCAGGACTTGTGCAAAGTTTAATACTATTACTCATCAGTTTTATTTTACCTCCTATTTTTCTCATTCTTTGCATGGATTTACGGAGACACTTTCCTGACTTTTTCATTGTGGGCTGTGTTGTAGTCACCTTGGATTGATCTCTGGCCCTTTGGTCATTGTGTGCTTTGAGTCTGCATGGTGAGTCCCAGTTTTATTTCATGCATGAGCTTCATTGACAGAAAATCATTATACCTTATTTCCTTGCTTCATGCTTGGAAGATGTGGATTTGGCCTTCATATTCCTGACTGGATACTTTAAATGAGTCAGATGCATCTGCTTTAGATAGGTATTGACTAAGGAGAAGTAAGGGAATAATCTGTAAAACTCAACCCAAAATGAAGTCTTTTTTCTTGCTAGAGGCATATTATTTATTTGGATAGATTAAGATTTTCCTCTACATGTTTAAGAAGTTAATCTCAATTTGGATGTGATTAGTAATAATTTCAAATCTATATTTCACTTGAGTTTCTTGCAGTGTAATTATGTTTGTTGTCTGTTTGGGAATACTAAAACAATCATTTTATTGTAGTATATTTAATACTTTTACCATATTTCTTCTTACTTAAACGAATACATATAAATAACAACCATGAGAATCTCAAGCATATTTGAAATATTTTAATATCATTATGAAAGTAGAAAGATAAAATTAGAGTGCTCCAAAAATATTTAAAAATTCTAGTCCAATATCCTCATTTAGAGAAAGAAACCGAGGCCCAGAAATGTAAAAGCAAGTGAATAAAATTAGTGGTATGGCCAGAATTAGGTACTTTGTTCATGAAAATATTTAGACATTTTTGAGGTGAGTTAGGACTGGCAGGGCACGGAGGGACACTGTTGTCATAAAACTATGAAGGACCTACCAAGGAAAAAATACCTCTAGGGGTCTCTGTTTATTGAGTTCTAAAAAAATACCCATACTATATTTGGTTGGCTAATAACATATAAATGGATTTTAATTGGTAAGTGTTTGGGGCATTTCTTTTTCTCTGTTCTTTCCCTTCCTTCTCCACACATCTATCCCAAGGCACAGGCATTTTATTTTGCATTTTGGACCTGCTGTCTGTTTGACAGTGTCCTCTTTTGATTTATTTATTATTGTTGTTTGCAAAGAAGAGGGAAATTTTGAAGCATGAACTTGCTGTGCTACCTTGATTTGGAGGTCTCCTGGCCCAGTGTGGAAAAAGTTAAAATCATCTGACATATGTTTATATATATTTAAGCATCTCAGTTGGCTTCATTTGTGCAATGAGGTCCCAAGATCCACTCAAACTCCTACTTACATACAGGAAAGAAAAACATCTGCTGCTTTGACTAAAAGTTCCTCCTGGCCTTCCCTGTGAAACTCAGGTGAAACCTCCAGCCAACAGAATTGTAACAGAGTCATTCTATTACACCAAGAAGCCTGTGAGCTCACAGGGGGAGGAAATACTGCAGCAGGATATGCAGTTGGGAGGATCTTCCTGCCCACAAGAAAATACAAAAAAAGTGGAATTAATCATCTTCATCTTTTCACAGAATTTGCTAAGAAATTAAATTCAAATTAACACACTCATAGTTTTTGCCTACCATGTTCAAAACACTCCTGGTGCTTATGAGAGACGTGGTCTTTTAGAGGGCACAGTTACCATAAGGCAGCCACACCAGCAGGCTGGGTACTTACATTAATGATAAACCTATTATGCTCTTTCCCCATGAAAACAGATCTGGACCCTCACCTCCCCCACTACCGCTGTCACAGGCTCCTGGAATTTCCCTCTCTCACCCCTACCCTTCACCACTTTTGTGAATGTTCCTCAATCTGACTCCATCTTCCATCAGTCTTCTCCTCTTCAAACCCTTTCTCTGTGCTCTGTGGAATTCCTGATCAGTATAGTTTTCATATAGACATCCTTTACTTAAACCTTCTCTCCCATTTCTTGCCTTAATTGAAAATTGGCCTCTCTCTAGTCATCATCCCCCCTCCAATTCCATAGGCCTCATTACGACTTCCAAATCATTTCTTCTTTTTCTACCCTTGAAAAGCCTGGCACCTCTGATGTTTGTACCACTTACCAGTGTCACAATATTACCATATTACCCTCTTTGTGTTAGAGCTTCCCAGAGAAACAAAGCCAATAGGACACACACACACACGCACACACCCGCACACACATACACACACACACAAGTGTATTTATAATTAAATAAGAAATATATAGATATGACGGCCAGGCGCGGTGGCTCACGCCTGTAATCCCAGCACTTTGGGAGGCCAAGGAGGGCAGATCACGAGGTCAGGAGATCGAGACCATCCTGGCTAACATGGTGAAACCCCATCTCTACTAAAAATACAAAAAAAATTAGCCGGACATGGTGGTGGGCGCCTGTAGTCCCAGCTACTTGGGAGGCTGAGGCAGGAGAATGGCGTCAACCCGGGAGGCAGAGCTTGCAGTGAGCCGAGATCACACCACTGCACTCCAGCCTGGGCGACAGAGAGAGATTCCGTCTCGGAAAAAAAAAAAAAGAAAGAAAGAAAGATATATATGTGACAAAGTTCTCATTTCTATAATTTGTCTTGTGGCTGTAGTTAGTGTTTATAATTAGCTTCTTCCTTTAACAGTTCACTATTGCTGTTTCCTCCGGTAAGCCCTCTAGCACTACATGGCTCTTTGCTTTACGTGGTGGCCCAAACCTTCATTCCTGAAGGGTCTAGGCCATGAGTGTTCCTGCCTGGATTGGTTTGTTGTAGTTTTCCATCAACCTTAACCACCAGGCATGATAATATTGAAAGGTGCCTCGAGGGACCTCCTATGTTCCAGACATACTCTTCTTTATCTCCATTGTGGAATAGTAGTCCAATTTTCTCTTGGTAGTCAGGATTAATCACCCCAACCAGCACAATAACTCCCTTCTTTGCCAGTTGATTCAGAGGCATGAGTAACCCAAAGTGGCCAGGTGACTTTCTTAACCTCCAGTTCAGTAGAGTCGTTGTTGCGTCTCCTGGTGGGAGCATTCATCCCTCTGTTACTATAACCTCTAGGTAGTTACTATATCCTCTATAGTAGAGCATAAGATTGTGAAAACAGGAAGTCAACATTTGCTACTGAGTTGCTAGGGGTAATGGTGAGTGGTTTTCCAACACAATGAAGTCTTAGGCAGTATACCACTCCGAAATCACTTGATCAGAGATTTCCAGCACTCACTGGGGGCATTTCTGAAATTGTGGAGGCTGAGAATCTTCTGTCTTGTGTCTGTAAGACAGAGACCCAGGAAAGCTGGTGGTATAGTTCCAGTCTGAGTCCGAAAGCCTGAGAATCAGGAGCACTGATGGTGTAAGTCTGAGTTCAAGGACAGAAACCAAGCAATGTCCTGGATCAAGCAGTCAGGCAGGGAAAGGCAGAGACAGAATTCTCACTTCCTCTGACATTTTTGTTCTATTCAAGTCCTCAGTGGATTGGATGGGGCCCACTCACATTGAGGAGGGCAATCTGCCTTACTCAGTACGCCAATTAAAAAGTTAATGAGATATATACCTCTTTTGAAAACACCCTCACAGACATGCCCAGAAATGTTTAACCCACTATCTGGGCATCCTGTGGCCCAGTCAAGCTGACACATGACAGTAACCGTCACACTCATCCTCCTCCCTTCGAACTGCTTTCTCACTGCCCCTCAGTGACTGGAGCCATTAGCACCTCTCTGCTTCACCTCTCATCTCATCTCTCAAAGCCACGTTTAAAATGTTACTGTATACATTACATGTCTTTGTGAAAATCAGTATGCTGAGCTATGGAGAAAAAAAGTATTTCAGAGAAGTGTGAAACAAACTGAAATTTAAAATTTAAAACATTACATGAATTGTGGATTATCAGAATTCACTTAAAATATTTCCATAGGTAAAAGAGAATGCTTGATTATGTCACATTTAAATACTGTTCTTTAGTTTTTATTTTAATCGGGACAATTTACATTAAGCACTGGTAAAGCAATTTCAAAATTTCTGTAGGTTAAAACAACAAAGGGGCTAGGCGCAGTGACTCATGCCTGTAATCCCAGCACTTTGGGAGGCCGAGGCGGGTAGATCATGAGGTCAGGAGTTTGAGACCAGCCTGGCCAACATGGTGAAACTCCTTCTCACTAAAAATACAAAAATTAGCCGGGTGTGGTGGCGGGCGCCTGTAATCCCAGCTACTTGGAAGGCTGAGGCAGGAAAATTGCTTGAACCTGGGAAACAGAGGTTGCAGTGAGCTGAGATTTTGCCGCTGCACTCTAGCCTGGGTGACAGAGCAAGACTCCGTCTCAAAAAAAAAAAGAAAAAAAAAAAGGATTATTTCTCATTCATGCTAGATGTCCAGTGAGGGTGGATGGGGAGCTCTGTTTCACACTGACACTCAGGAGTCTAGGCTGACAACGGCTCCATCCTCTTGTCACTGCTTCTGGTGGAATTTGTGGCCTTTCTGGTCGCTGCAGCAGGAGAAAGAGAACAGAGAACCACACTGGGACTTTGACAGCATTGGCCTCACTTTTGCTCACATTTCATTGATCAGAACTAGTCATGAGGCCCTGCCTAATGTTAAGGGCTGGGAAATGCAGGCTTGCCTATGCACAAGCATCACTACTGCCCAGCAGAGTCTTTTTTTTTTTTTTTTTTAAGACAGAGTCTCCCTCTGTCACCCAGGCTGGAGTGCAGTGGTGCCATCTCAGCTCACTGCAAGCTACACCTCCTGAGTTCATGCCATTCTCCTGCCTCAGCCTCCCAAGTAGCCCGCCACCACACCCGGCTAATTTTGTTTTTGTATTTTTTTTAGTAGAGATGGGGTTTCACCGTGTTAGCCAGGATGGTCTCCATCTCCTAACCTCATGATCCGCCTGCCTTGGCCTCCCAAAGTGCTGGGATTGCAGGCGTGAGCCACCACGCCCAGCCTGCCCAGCACAGTCTTGTTAAACAGCTCTCATGTCCTGTGGAGTCCTGTCATGACACATGGGAACATGCGTGTCATGATAGGACTCCACATATAGGACTCCACATATAGGAGTAAAGGAGAAACGTGAGTTGATCAGTGAAATGAAGATGAAGGACAGGGTGAACCTCAGAGCCTGAGGTTGAAGGTTAAGTCTGTGATATCAGCAAGCATGTGGAAAGAACACACTTTCCTGGTGGAGGCACATGTGGAGGCTTTGATGGGCAATCAGGAGGTTTTAGGACAGCTGTGAGCAGTTCTGCTTTTTTTTTTTTTTTTTTTTTTTTTTTTTTGAGACAGAGTCTCGCTCTGTCTCCCAGGCTGGAGTGCAGTGGCTGGATCTCGGCTCACTGCAAGCTCCGCCTCCTGGGTTCACGCCATTCTCCTGCCTCAGCCTCCAGAGTAGCTGGGACTACAGGCACCCGCCACCACACCCGGCTAATTTTTTGTATTTTCAGTAGAGAAGGGGTTTCACCGTGTTAGCCAGGATGGTCTGGATCTCCTGACCTCGTGATCCGCCCACCTCAGCCTCCCAAAGTGCTGGGATTACAGGAGTGAGCCATCGTGCCCAGCCTGTTGGGTCACATTTTATAATACATTTGCTGAGGTCTATTTTGTGATCTGTGAGTATGCACTGTGGTGGTGGCAGTAAAATACATCAGTGGGAGTTTTCCTGCAGAGCTCTTGATCCATGCGGGGTGTATCACAATTGCACAGTAAATATTGATTTCATTGAGAAGAAAGAAAAATCTGATAAGAAATAAAATGAACCAATAAATATTTTCTCTACGTATGTGTGGTAGACAGAATTCGCAATGTGATCCCATGATTTCATACCCGAATCCCTCAGAGCCCACAAGAATAGGGAATCCCATGACTATGTTGTGTCATATGGCACAGTTGACTGTAGAGTAGGGACACTATCTGGTGGGCTTAATGTCATCACACAGTTTCGAAGCAGAGTGTTTTTTTTGACTGGTAGAAGAAGTCAGAGAGATTCAGAGTATGAGAATGACGCAGTGTGTACTGCTGTTCAGAAACGGAGGGAGCCAAGAGAGCAGGAATGAGGGTGGCCTGAAGGGTGCAAGACAGGTCCTGGCTGGCAGCCAACAAGGAAACCAGGACCCCAGTCCTCCAATGCCAGGAATTTAATCCTGCCAATAGCAGGAGTAAGCTTGGAAGAGGAGCCTGGGGTCTAGGGAAGAAAACATTAACTTACATCTTTATTTCAGCCTTGTGAGACTGAGCAGGCGGTCCAGCCGCTGCATCCTGGAATTCTTGCCATTATCACACTCGTATGTGAAATAATAAAACCGTGTGTTAGCTTCTGTATTGAATAAACTGAATAAACTTCTCAACTTTGCTTTCCTTCTCCAGTTTCCTCTCCCCACCCCTACAGTATCATTCTTTATGGAAGACATATTAAATTTCTCTTTAAAACAACATTGCTTTGAAATATAAAAAACAGCATATGTCAACTGTTTTTTTACAATAAGAAGTACTATAACCAGACTTTTTTAAAAAAATGATATTATCCTGCTTAGCTCACAAAAACATTTTGATTATTTGGGCTGTTAAATTTTACGTGTCATGTTCAGTAAATCAATTAGGTTCTTAAGAAATCTCCTGCAGATTGTCAGATTGAAGAGATCATAACCCAGAAGGAAATAAGCCTGCACTCCTAAGACAATCAGTGCTTCTAATGAGAAAAGTGACTGACAGATAAGGTGGGAAGATTGGCCTCACCTCATGGGGCAGCTCTGCTGTTCTTGCCCATCCTGATGTTTTTGGATAACAAGGAAAGTGTATTCAATTTTTTAGCTCCCCCTTTTAAAAAAGCAGTGGAAGCTTGTAATCAAAGACAATCATGTTGGGGTCCGGTAGGAGTCACCCCATCGCATTCATCACACTCATCAACCAAAGGGAGGAGGCCTCTCCCTGAGTTCCTGCTTGAGGAACATGGCTGGAAAAGTAGGGAGAATGGAAGCTGATGCCAAAAACAAAAACAGGAGAGAGAAAGAAATGCCTCTGTTTGGTGCTTCGAAACACTCGATTTAATCTGTGCATGTAGGTGGGGAAAGCATTTGTCCATTTTTAATTTCTGTAGTTAATCCAGGAGCCTCCAGAATAGGCTTATGGTTTGGAGTGACCTTGAATGGTGACAAGAGTATATTTTATTTGCATGGCTCTCCCCACTTTACCAATTACTTTCTCATAGGAGTCGCTTGTTTCTCACCCATGAAATTGTTAGGTTTTGTTAACTTTTCAGTCTTGAGATTAGAAGAGGCTTTAATGTGCTAGAAGCACAACTGCACTTTTGATTCATGAATTTTTTTTTTTTTTTTTGAGACGGATTCTCGCTCTGTCGCCCAGGCTGGAGTGCAGTAGGGCGATCTCGGCTCATTGCAAGCTCCGTCTCCTGGGTTCAGCCATTCTCCTGCCTCAGCCTCCTGAGTAGCTGGGACTACAGGCACCCACCACCACGCCTGGCTAATTTTTTTTGTATTTTTTTAGTAGAGACGGGGTTTCACCGTGTTAGCCAGGATGGTCTGGATCTCCTGACCTTGTGATCTGCTTACCTCGGCCTCCCAAAGTGCTGGGATTACAGGCGTGAGCCACCGCACCCAGCCGATTCATGAATTTTCTATTCAGTTTCCAGCCTCTTCTGGAACACATTCAGCAATGGAGAGCTCCCTGCCTTTTGTAACTCTGGAGAGTTCAAGTTAATCCATTTATTGTTTGCTAGAAAATATAACCTTTTGAAAATATTTTCTTACTTTCCATTTTATTATTTATTTATTATTATTATTATTTGAGATGGAATCTCGCTCTGTCACCAGGCTGTAGTGCAGTGGTGCAATCTCGGCTCACTGCAACCTCCTCCTCCTAGGTTCAAGCAATTCTTCTGCCTCAGCCTCCCAAGTAGCTGGGACTACAGGTGTGTGCCACCACGCCCAGCTAGTGTGTGTGTGTGTGTGTGTGTGTGTTTGGTAGAGACGGGGTTTCACCATGTTGGCCAGGATGGTCTCAATCTCTTGACCTCCTGATCCACCTGCCTCGGCCTCCCAAAGTGCTGGGATTACAGGTGTGAGCCACTGCACCCAGGCCATTTTATCTTTTAACTGTCTGCAACAAAGACAGAAAATGACACCAACCTAAATCATTCCTGTTAGAGTTCAGGACCATCATCTCCCAAACTTTGGAGTGTCTGATTCCCTGTAGTCAATATGCAACGAGATTTCAGGCAAGTATTGTTTGAGGTCGACAGTAACTGTATCCAAAAGTTACCTTCCTAAACATATACAATTGTTTTAGAAATAAATGCCTACATTTTCTTTGAGTACCTGGGCTAACTGATGAAATCGGCCTTTCTGCCTCACCTTACAAAGGTACTTTACAAAGTTTGGGATTAATGTTGAGATGGGAAATCAACCCACACTAGATGCAAAAAAGCAGAGCTCACTGCCTGAAAATGTGAGGTGTGAGGCTATTCAATGGTTGTAATAAAAAATAAAAAATAAAAAAGATCAATGAAAGTGGGCTTAGAAGGGCCAGTGTCCAGGCAGCTCTGCTGTGGGAACTGTAGAATCCGGGTCATGGGAATGAGGAAGGAAAATGACTTGGGTATATTCCACAGAGTGGATCCTATTTTCAGAACATGCTTTCATTTCTTTTTGCATTTGACAGTTTATACTCAAGAATAAAATAGTCACCTCAAGGGCGTTAGGGAAGCAGAAGCCTAGGAGAGCCCGAGTGACACCATTTTAACATCAGCTCCGTCTTCAAGTTAGCAGGGTGCATTCCTTGCCAGTCATGACTCATGGTCCTAACATGTTCACATCCAAGGAAAGAGTGTGGTAATGCCTGCAAGGACAAACTCCTACAATAACAGGCAGTCCAGATGTCCCAATGCCCATAACAATATATGCTTTCAAGATAGTTGTAGTTACGCTTTGATGTACTCGTACACTAAAATGTCAAGGATCGTTTTCTTTAAATCAATAGAATAATAAATTTTGTCATTCTGTCAGTCCACCTGCACATAGGCAAAGCTTAGTTTATTCTTTACATAAAGAAGATGTATATGTAAGAAAAACTTAAAACAAAGATGGGGCATTCCTGTTCTTGCTTTCTGAGGATACCTTACTCTATAACCTAGAGGCTTTCAATAAACTCTCCCTTCCCACTTTATTCTGCAACTCACCTTGAATTCTTTCCTGTGTAAGATCCAAGAACACTCTCTTGGGGTTTGTATCAAGATCCCTTTTCTGGTAAAAAAGAGGATGCAAAAATTCAGCTACAACAAAAATAGACATGGGTTATTTTTCCTAAAAAGATTGCACTTGTCTGTTGCCATTGGAGGAATGTATCCGATGTTGTCAAATGTCAAACAAGACTCAGAGGACCTGACAACTCATATTTTGGAAGCTGGTTCTCTTTGGAATACAGAATTTTAAAAGGCTTGAAGCAGTACTCTTGAGTAATATGGAGAGTAGATAGATGATGGAGAGCAGAGAGAATGATTTAGGTTTGTGCCATTTTCTATCTTTCTTGCAGACAGTTAAAAGATAAAATGGAAAGTGAGAAAATATTTTCAAAATAATTACTCTTTATACTCACAATATAACCTTTTCACAATAATTCTTCTTCCTCTTCTTCTCCTCCTTCTTCTTCCTCCTCTTGTTCTTCCTCCTCTTCCTCCTCCTCTTCCTCCTCCTCCTCTTCCTCCTCTTCTTCTTCTTCTTTCGTCTTCTTCTCCTTTCTTCTTTCTTTTTTCTTCTTTCTTCTTTTCTTTTTTAGATGGAATCTTGCTCTGTCACCAGACTGGAGTGCAGTGGCATGATCTCAGCTCACTGCAACCTCCGCCTCCCAGGTTCAAGGGATTCTCCTTCCTCAGCCTCCCGAGTAGCTGGGACTACAGGCACACACCACCACGCCTAGCTAATTTTAGTATTTTTAGTAGAGACGAGGTTTCACCATGTTGGCCAGGCTGTTCTCCATCTCTTGACCTCGCGATCCACCTACCTCGGCCTCCCAAAGTGCTGGGATTACAGGCATGAGCCACCATGCCCAGCCAATAATTACTCTTTTTGTATTCCAGCAGAAAAGTTGGGATCATGGATAAACGACTTGCCCCAACTCTGGACAATGAAGCAGTGGCAACCTGTTAACACATATTAATTTTGGGTATTTCTGAAAGTTTTTTTTTTTTTTCACCTTTCTACCCTCCTGCTTTTCCCGTGAGAATGGGTGTGGTTACTCATTTGCTTACACAAATCTCATTCTTGTATCCAGTTTGATAACTGGATACTACTGAAGCTGATCTTCAGTAGTCTCGGGTGGTCCTAGTGAACCAGCTTCTCCAGACGCAGCTGTTCGCCTTCTGTTCATTCAGCATCCAAGGTGAGTCTTCAGCACTGTCTGATGCTCCAGCAGTTCATTCTGGCAGTGCTCTTACGAGAGGGATAGCGGGAGCAGGCCGGCGGCACAGGCCAGATACAGTCAGGGTCAGATGACCACCTGATGGGGAGGGTCTTCATCCACAGACTGTTCTCATTGTTTGGGGGATTCTTCCTCCTTTTTTATTCCTGTATTTAATCTGGCTTCAGTCATTAGGTGTTTCTTTCATAGAGGAATTTTAATCATATAAGGGTAAGCTTTGTTTTAAGATTCATGAAAGTGGCATATGTGCTGAGGTGGCCTAGGCAATCAGGGTTTTTAGGTCTTATTTTCATAGGGACCCAGTAATCATCTCCCGGCCAGGGCTGGAAATCCCCAGGCCAGGTTACATCATACTGCTAAGTGAAACATAGTGTAGACCCCATGAGATGTTTGAGTGGGCTTTATGGCCATCATTAATCTTACAGGCATGGGATGTTTCTTATTGTACCATACAACAGCTATCCACACTTCTCATCCACATTCTTGCAGCAATCTAATCTTCTCATACAACAGTGAGGTAAGATTACCACTCAGCCTTTGTTGTGATGACTGCCCACCTGCTACTTTAAGTTTAGCTGTGTGTGGTACTATGATTACTCTTCCTTTCAAGAACAGCATTTTCTTTCCTTTGGGATTAATGATTGCTTGTTTGGGGGGCTATACTTTATTTTTATACATTATTACTAATATTTAAACCAAATTTCTCTTAACCTGGGTTTTCTCTAAAAACAGAGCCTAGTACAAAGGTATGTAGGCATTTTATTTTATTTGGGAAGTGACTGTAGGAAACAGTAATGTGAGGGCCTGGAGAACATGACAGAGAGAAGGAAAAGCCAATTAAAAAATACATAGGGTCAGGAGATCAAGACCATCCTGGCCAACATGGTGAAGCCCTGTCTTTACTAAAAATACAAAAATTTGCCGGGTGTAGTGGCAGGTGACTGTAATCCCAGCTACTTGGGAGGCTGAGGCAGGAGAATTGCTTGACCCAGGAGGAGAAGATTACAGTAAGCCAAGATCGTGCCACTGCACTCCAGCCTGGCGACAGAGCAAGACTCTGTCTCAAAAAAAAAAAAAAAATTACATAGGGGCTCACCTCTGCAGATAGGGCTGAATACTGCTGGAACTGTTTGAGAAGCTACATGAAATGCATCCTCTTGATGGCTATTGTCCTCCAACAGAAGCAGGTTGTTTCTTTGGAGTTAATGCCTCTCCACTCCCAGGTTATGCAGACCTGTGTGCTGTGTCCTGAGAAATTTCAGTAAAGCTCATTGCAGAAAGCATTCAGGGTAGTGCAGCCATGGCTGAAGTCAAAGGGGGTTGAGAGGACCTGAGATGGGACACATGTTGGGGGAAAGGCAGTTATCTAGAGCTGGGAGGGGGACCTGGTAATGTGACTCCTGGCAATGTCCTTTACATGGTCCTTTCTCTCAAGTGTACCTAATGTCATCAATTCCTGAACTTTGGGAGTGGGACCATTTCATATAATTCGAACCTCTTCTACACGTGATATAAACTACTAAGTCAATGGCACATATCCATCTTTTTTTCCAGATCCCCAAGTTCCTGTTTTCTCTTCTTTCATCCTTATGGGTTTATTATGTTTTTTACAAAGACAACCCCCTTATTGTCATCTTAGTGGCATTTCAGGGGTAAGTAGAATGAAAGGCATGCTTCCTATCTGCTCTCTTGAATCTACATATACTCTTTTGGGTTTTAAACCTTTTAGAGAAAAAAACTTCCATGGTATATGCCTCTTAACAAAGATCTTACATGAATAGGCCAAAAAACTCAGTTTTTGTCCAGCTAATAATTGAATTGTAACCAAACGAAACCAGCCAGCTTGCTATAGAATTATTTTAATAGGGCATACACTGTACGCTTTTTGTTTCTGCACATTTTTACACTTGCAGATATTATACACGGAATTTTATATTCTTCCTGTTCAGTTAACATTCTGTGTATATCTTCTCTTTTCTACATGATTAAAAAAATGTTATTCGGCCGGGCGCGGTGGCTCACGCCTGTAATCCCAGCACTTTGGGAGGCCGAGGCAGGCGGATCACGAGGTCAGGAAATCGAGACCATCCTGGCTAACACGGTGAAACCTCGTCTCTACTAAAAATACAAAAAAATTAGCCGGGCACGGTGGCGGGCGCCTGTAGTCCCAGCTACTCGGGAGGCTGAGGCAGGAGAATGGCGTGAACCTGGGAGGCAGAGCTTGCAGTGAGCCGAGATCGCGCCGCTGCATTCCAGCCTGGGCGACAGAAGGAGACTCCGTCTCAAAAAACAAACAAACAAACAAAAATTATTCTACACCCCTCTTCTATCCTATTTCCTGTTTTTACATCCGCTCTCCCCTCCCGCTTCTGAGTCTCCAGTGTCCTTTATACCACACTATGCCTTTGCCTACCCATATTAGCTTATAAGTGAGAATATATGGTTTTGGTTTTCTATTCTGAGTTACTTCACATTTCAAATGGAGTTGTTTTCTTAACTTCATTCACTTAGTGCTCACTGCGAGTGTATAGTAATACAATTAATTGTTTAATATTGATTTTTATCCCTCAAACTTGCTGAACTCATTTATTAGGAATCGTTTTCTGGGGTATTCTTTTGGATTATACGTATACAAAATTTGGGTAAACCGTAAGTAACTGATGTTACAATCTGTTGTGCTCATTCAGTACTTTTCCCTAAGCCCAATCACACATTAAACAAACACAGAGTTCCTTTTAGTTCCTGCCTAAGCACTGAGTTTTTATAATGAAAGGTGGGAAGATATGTTCTATAAGAAAAGGTTTTTTAAAAAAACAGTTTTATTGAGATATAATTTTACATTCCATAATATTCACCCATTTAAAGTATGTAATTTAATGTTTTTTACTATATTCACAGTTTTGTAAAACCATTACCATTATTCAACTTTAGAATACTTCTATTTCCCTTAAAAGAAACCCCATGCTCGTTAGCAGTCACTTGCTATTCTCCTCTCCTTCCCCACTTCACCAACTCCTCACCTCTCTACCCGAAGTAACCACTAATCTACCTGCTTATTCTGGGCATTTAATAGAATTGGAACCATGCAATATATGGTCTTTTGTGGCTGGCTGCTTTTACTTAGTATAATGCTTTCAAGGTTCATCTATGTTGTAGCCTATATCAATACTTCATTTCTTTTTAAGACAGAATAATCTTTCATTGTATTTATGTACCACATTTTACTTATCCATTCATCAGGATAAATGGGCATTTTGGACATTGGGTTGTTTCAACTTCTGGCTATTAGGAATAATGCTGCTATGAACATTCATGTGCACTTTTTTTTTTTGAGAGAGTCTTGCTCTGTCGCCCAGGCTGGAGTGCAGTGGCATGATCTCTGCTCACTGCAAACCTCTGCCTCCTGGGTTCAAGTGATTCTTCTGCCTCAGCCTCCCAAATAGCTGGGACTACAGGCACGTGCCACCATGCCTGGCTAATTTTTGTATTTTTAGTAGAGATGGGGTTTCACCATATTGGCCAGGCTGCTCTCACACTCCTGACCTCATGATCTGCCTGTCTCGGCCTCCCAAAGTGCTAGGATTACAGGCGTGAGCCACCGCGCCTGGCCCATGTACACATTTGTGTCTGTGTGTGTGTGAACATGTTTCACACCTAATGGTGGAATTATTGAATCGTATTGTAATTCTATGTTTAATTTTTTGAGGAATTGTCAGTTTTCCACAATGGCTGCATCATTTCACATATTTATCAACAGTGTGTGAGGGTTTAAATGTCTTCAAATCCTTGCCAAAAGTTTTTACTGTCTGCCTTTTCGATTATAGCTGTCTTTGTAGACGTGATTTTGATTTGCATTTCCATAATGAATAGTGATGTTGAGCCAATTTTCATATGTTTGTGGATATTTGTACATCTTCTTTGGAGAGATGCCTATTTAAATCTTTTGCCTATATTGTATTTGGTTTATTTGCCTTGCTACTATTGAGAGTGGTATGATTCCTTTATATTCTGGATATAAGACCCTTATCAGATATATGGCATGCAAATATTTTATTCATTTCTGCAAGTTTTGTCTTTTTTTGATGGTATCGTTTGTAGCACGAAACTTTTAAATTTTGATGAAGTCGAATTTATTTTTTCTTTCATTGCTCGTGCTTTTGCTGTTGTACCTTAAAAATCTTTGCCTAAACCCAAGGTCAGAAAATTTCACTCCTCTATTTTCTTCTAAAAGTTTTACAGATTTTTATGCTTATACTTAGGCTTTTAATCTTTTTGAATAAGCTTTTTGTGTATGGTGTGAGATAGGGCATTGAGTTATCTAGCCACATTTGTTGAAAAGGCTCTTCTTTCTCCAAGCACTTTTATTAGAACCCTTCTGAAAAATTCATTGGCTATAAATATAATAATTTATTTTTAGATTCTCAATTCTGTTCTACTGATCTATGTGTTATTCTTATGGCCATACTACACTGTTTTTATTATTATAGCTTTGTGTTATGTTTTAAAATCATTAAACGGGAATCCTTTAAATTTATTCTTTTTCAAAATTGTTTTGGGGATTCTTGGTCCCTGAATTTTCAGAACTTTTAAGATCAGTTTGTCAGTTTCTGAAAAAGAGCTAGCTAAGATTTTGATAGAGATTGTGTTGAATCTGTAGATCAGCTTACAAAGTATGGTCATTTAACAATATTAAGTCTTTGGGAGGCTGAGGCAGGAGAATCGCTTGAACTCGAGAGGCGGGGGAGGTTTCAGTGAGCCGAGATTGTGCCATTGTACTCCAGCCTGGGCAACAAGAGTGAAACTCTGCCTCAAAACAAACAAACAAACAACAACAACAACAACAACAAAAATATTGTCTAGGTAATATCTTTCCATTTATTTAGATCTTTAATTTCTTTTAAAACTGGTTTGTAGTTTTTAGTATACAAATCTTGCAATTCTTTTGTTAAATTATACCTTAGTATTTTATTCTTTTTGATGTCATTTCAAATGGAATTGTGTATATATATATATATATATATATATATATATTTTACTTCAGTAGCTTTAGGGGTAGAAGTGGTTTTTGGATACATGGATGAATTGTGTAGTGGTGAAGTCTGAGATTTTAGTACACCTGACACCTGAGGAGTGTACATTGTACCCAGTAAGTAGTTTTTTATCCCTTCCCCTTCTGAGTCTCCAATGTTCATCATAACATTCTGTATGCTTTTGCCTACCCATAGCTTAGCTTATAAGTGAGAACATGTGGTATTTGGTTTTCTATTCCTGAATTACCTCACATGTCAAATGAAATTGTTTTCTTAATTTCATTCACTGAATGTTCATTGTTAACATATAAAAATAAAATTAATTTTTAATATTGATTTTTATCCTTCAAACTTGCTGAACTCATTAGTTCTAATAGTTTTCCGGGGTGTTCTTTTGAATTATCTGTATACAAAACTTAGGTCATGTATAAGTAGAGATAGTTTTACTTCTTCTTTTTCAATCTGGATATCTTTTGTTATTTTTATTTGACTATCTCGGCTGGCCCATCTCGTGGAGGGGATTTTTATTGTAAATTTTTTTATTAGAGAGATGTACTGTATATATTTTCCTACAGTAATTTTGAACTAATTATTCTTATAGACATCTGTATATTTTCTACTTATTTTTAGATTTCTTTTTGACTTATGGGTAAATGAAATACGTGTTTATTAATTTCCATATTTTTCTAGATATTTTTGATGTTTTTATTTTTCTCCAGATTAATGGCTTCCTTATCAGAAAATATCTGTAGATTTTCCATCATTTGAAATTTGTTGAGATTTTATTTATGGTTCAGTGTGTGCTTCTTTTTAAATAAATGTTCTGTATGTGCTTGAAAATGATGTGTATTTTGGCAGCATTTGACTGAGTGACAGTTTTATGAGGTTCAAATCTTCTAAATCCTCTTAGTTTCTTCTATTAATTAGTGATAAAAATGTGTTAAAAAGAAAAATAATCAGAGTAGAGGATTTTCTTTGTAGTTCTAGGGATGTTTTTATTTATGAGTGTTGAGGCTAGGTAATTAGATGTATATATATTATAATTATTTTATCTTCCTAATAATAACATGTCTATATTAGCTTTTATGGTTAATATTTTCCTGGTATGCCTTTTTACTTTTTAAATCATTAACCTTTCTGTATCCTAATGTTTTATATATGTCTTGTGAAAACAGGAGCAAATTGGGTTTTGTGTTATAGTCTGTTCATTTTTACTTTAAAATAAATAGTTTAGTCAGTTTATGTTTAAAACAATTACTGATATATATAGGTGTGTATTTTCCATTATATCTGTGTTCGTAGTTTATCCATGTTCCATTTTCTTTTATCTTAGGTTGTTTATATTTTCTTATCTAATTTCCCCCCTTG
The DNA here is from genome assembly GCF_000001405.40 of Homo sapiens. NCBI lineage: Eukaryota > Metazoa > Chordata > Mammalia > Primates > Hominidae > Homo > Homo sapiens. The sequence continues at coordinate 67,542,228 of NC_000009.12, read as the reverse complement.
TAATTTAGAAGTTGTATAATATTTTTATTTTTATTGTAATAATTATAACATAGATACTATATTAATATCCATATTGTTCAGAAAAACAGAACCAACAGGACACACACACACAGTCTGAAAGCCAGCAGTCTTGAGACCTAAAAAGAATCCGTTTTTCAGTTCAAGTCTGAAGGCAGTAAAAGATGCATATCCCAGCTCCAACAGTCAGGCATGAAAGAAAAGGTCAGCTTTCTTGTTCTATTTAGGCCTTCAGCTGATTGAATGAGGCCCATTCTCATTGGGGAGCACAATCTGCCTTACTCAGTCTACTGATTCAAATGTTAATTTATCCAGAAATACTCTCACAGACACATCCAGAATAATGTTTGACCAAATGTCTGGGCACCATGTGGCCTAGTAAAGTTGAACACATAAAATTGAGCACTACAGCACTTAATTGATCAGTGTCTCAGTTAATCTGTATCTTGACCTCATACCAAATGATAAAGGAGCATTAGAAGACTCTTTTACTTTATTTTCCTTCCTCTCTTTTTATTCTGCTGTTAATAAAATTTCATTTTTTATCTTAAACATTCTACAAGGTGATGCCATTATTTTTTTCTATTTTTTATTGTGGTAAAATATACATAACATACTTTTTATCATTGTAACCATTTGTGAGTATGCAGTTCAGTAGCATTAAATATATATTTACAATGTTATATAACTATTGTTACTATCTACACCAAAAAAAAAAAATATATATATATATATATATATATATTTTATACGGAGTCTGCTCTGTCGCCCAGGCTGGAGTGCAGTGGCACGACCCCTGCTCACTGTAAGCTCTACCTCCTGGGTTCATGCCATTCTCCTGCCTCACCCTCCAGAGTAGCTGGGACTACAGGCGCCCGCCACCACGCCCGGCTAATTTTTCTGTATTTTTAATAGAGACGGGGTTTCACCATGTTCGCCAGGATGGTCTCGATCTCCTGACCTCGTGATCCGCCTGCCTCGGCCTCCCAAAGTGCTGGGATTACAGGTGTGAGCCACCGTACTTGGCCCCTACACCAAAAATTTTTATTATCCTCAACATAAACTTTGTAGTCATTAATCAATAAGTACCCATTTCCCCACTCCTTATCCTCTAGTAAGCTTGATTCTACTTTCTGTCTGTAAATTTGCCTACTCTAGGTACCTTATATACATGGCATTGTATGATATTTGTCCTGCTATATCTGCCTTATTAAACAAAGCATAATATTTTCAAGGTTCATTCATGTTGTAGCAAATATAAAAATTTTATTTCTTTTTATAGCTGAATAGTATTCCATCACAATGCCACATATTCTTTATCTATCCATCTGTTGATGGACACTTGGATTGCTTCCACCTTTTGGATGTTATGAATAATGCTGATATGAACATTAGTACACAAATACCTGCTTTAGTCCTTGCTTTCCATTGTTTTCTATACATACTTAGGAGAGGAATTGCTGAGTCATTTGGTAGTCTTAAGATTAACTATTTGAGAAACTGCCAAATTATCTTACAAAGCAGTTGCACCACATTTTACATTTCCACCCTTAATGCACGTTCCAATTTCTCCACATTCTCACCAGTATTTATTATTTTTCAATTATTATTTTTATTATTATTTGTATAGCCATCTTTGTAGGTGTGACATGGTATCTCGTGGTTTTGATTTGTATTTTTCTATCTACTAATGATGTTGGACATCTCTTTATGTATTTATTGGCTATTTGTAGGTCTTCTTTGGAGAAATGTTTATTCTAGTCGTCTGCCCATTTTTAAATGTTTGTTTGTTTGTTTTTTGTTGTTGAGTATTGCATTAGTCCGTTTTCACACTGCTATAAAGAACTACCTGAAACTGGGTAATTTATGAAGAAAAGAGGTTTAATTCACTCACAGTTTTGCATGCTTAACAGGAAGCATGACTGAGAGGCCTCAGGAAACTTACAATCATGGCGGAAGATGAAAGGGAACCAAGGACTTTCTTCACATGGTGGTAGGAGAGAAAGAGAGAGTGAAGGGGGAAGTGCCACACACTTTCAAGCAACCAGATCTTGTGAGAACTCACTCAATAGCATGAGAACAGCAAGAGGGAAGTCCACCGCCATGATTCAGTCACCTCCCACCAGGTCCCCCCGACATGTGAGGATTACGATTCAACATAAGATTTCGGTGGGGACACAGAGCCAAACCATATCAAGTATTAAGAGTTCTTCATATAGTCTGGGTATTAATCCTTTATCAGAATGTCTGAGATATTCTGATCTGAGAGTTCTTCATATAGTCTGGATATTAATCCTTTATCAGAATATCTGAGATCAGAAGCAGCAATTAGCAATCAGAGAATAGATCTCTGATATTTGGAGGACAGGGTACTATTTGGCCACCCTGGCCTCTGCAAGCTGAATGGAAACTACTATTGGAATGCATGCACAGCTACCTGCCATGTGAGTGGAGGTAAGGGATGGATAGTTGCTACTGTGCTAAGAGCTGAAATTGACAAAATTAATGCAATTTACCATCCAACCTTTCCCTGGAAGTCGCAAACCTTTAACAGACTCTAGAGTTCCAAAAGAGTTACATCAGGCTGGCTGCAGTGGCTCACGCCTGTAACCCCAACACTTTGGGAGGCCGAGGCGGGTGGATCACCAGGTCAGGAGATCAAGAACATCCTGGCTAACACCGTGAAACCCCGTCTCTACTAAAAAATACAAAAAATTAGCCGGTGTGGTGGCAGGCGCCTGTAGTCCCAGCTACTAGGGAGGCTGAGGCAGGAGAATGGCATGAACCCAGGAGGCGGAGCTTGCAGTGAGTCCAGGTCGTGGCACTGAATGCCAGCCTGGTTGACAGAGCAAAGACTCTGTCTCAAAAAAAAAAAAAAAGAATTACGTCAGACATATTCTATCAATGCAATTGTGTCTAGTTGGGGGAGACAGTTTCCCGGTGCTTCTTAATTTGCCATTCCAGAATTCTCTCTCTCTTTCTTTATTTGTTATATCTGTTAAAATTTATATTTGTTAATCACTTTGGTTTCTTCTTTTTAGTCAGTTTAGATAATTTGTGTGTTTTAAGAAATTTATGCATTTATTTTAGGTTATTTGTTTGGCATACAATTGCTCACAGTACTCTTAATTCTTTATTTCTATAACATCACTAGTATTGTCCCCATTCTCATGTCTAATTTTTGTCATTTGCATGTTTTCCCTTTTCTTCTTAGTCTTTCTAGGTAAGTTTGTCAATTTTGTTGATCTTTACAAAAAACCAGCTTTTGATTTTATTGATTTTTCTCTATTGTTTTTCTAGTCCCCGTTTTGTTTTTCTGTGCTCTAATCTTTATTGTTTATTTCCTTCTAGTTTTGAGTTTAATTTGTTCTTTATATCCTCATTCTTTAAGGTGGAAAGTTAAGTTACTGATTTGGAATGTCCTTTTCAATATAGTTATTTATAGCTATACATTTCCCTGTGAGCACAGCTTTCAGTGCATCCCACAAGTTTTGGTATGTTGTGTTTTCATTTTCATTCATCTCTGTTTTCTAATTTCATTTGCAATTTCTTTTTTGATCCATTGCTTGTTTAAGAATGTGTTGTTGGCCGGGCGCGGTGGCTCACGCCTGTAATCCCAGCACTTTGGGAGGCCGAGGCGGGTGGATCATGAGGTCAGGAGATCGAGACCATCCTGGCTAACAAGGTGAAACCCCGTCTCTACTAAAAATACAAAAAATTAGCCGGGCGCGGTGGCGGGCGCCTGTAGTCCCAGCTACTCGGGAGGCTGAGGCAGGAGAATGGCGTGAACCCGGGAAGCGGAGCTTGCAGTGAGCCGAGATTGCGCCACTGCAGTCCGCAGTCCGACCTGGGCGACAGAGCGAGACTCCGTCTCAAAAAAAAAAAAAAAAAAAAAAAAAAAAAGAATGTGTTGTTTAATTTCCACAAATTTTTGAATTTTCTAGTTTTCCTTCTTTAAAAATATTTTTAATAGTATACTCTATTTAGCTTAATATATTCGTAGTATTATCATACCATTCCAATACATCATCAATGAAAGGAATTAGTATCGAGATATCTTACATTCTTTCTTTTGTACTAATGATATAGGAGGAGGGCAGGGCAGTGTTGGGTAGAGGAGAAGGTCCCTGGCTAGGGCTCCACCCTCAGGCCTGTGCCCATGGACCTAGGTGAGGACAGATATTTCTGCTTTCGTTCCCATATGTTGCATTTTCCAAGACCATCCTGGCCTGCCATGCCCCCATCCTGTGCCTATAAAACCCTGAGACCTTAGCGGGCAGAGACACAGAAGCTGGACATCAAGAGGAACACACACAAGTGGAAGGACACTCAAATGGCTGGACATTGAGAGGAACACACAGGCAGAGGAACACTTTGGCAGACACCAGTGGAATGACGAAACGCTGAGGGGAATTCAGTCGGAGAGTTTGGCTACTGAGCGGCTCCACTCCAGGGGAAAACCACCTTCCCAATCCATCCCCCCTCTGGCTCCCCTCCATCTGCTGAGAGCTACTTCCACTCAATAAAACCTTGCACTCATTCTCCAAACCCACGTGTGATCTAATATTTTTGGTACACCAAGGCAAGAACCCAGGATACAAAAAGCCCTCTGTCCTTGCGATAAGGCACAGTGTGTAATTGAGCTAATTAACACAAGCCACCTGCAGACCACAAAACTGAAAGAGTTAACTGTAATATATGCCCACTGGGGCTTCAGAAGTTGTAAACACTCAACCTTGGAGGCTGCCATGGTGCCAGCGCTTCCCATGCCCTGCCTGTCTGCATGGTTCCCCTAGAGGTATGAGTAGCAGGGCACCAAAGAAGTGAGCCACACCCCCATCACACGCCCTGCTGGGGGATAAGGAAACTTTTCCCATTACACTAAGTTTTTGAAATGCAGTGTCCATTTCATGTAATAGCAGATCTCCATTTCTTTTTTGTTTGCTTTCTGTTATTGATATCTAACTTCATCCTGTTGTGGTCTGAGAAGATACCATTTGTATGGCAACTATCTTCTAAAATCTATTGAGATTTAATTTGTGGCCTAACATATGGTCTGTCTTGGAGAAATGTCTCATGTGCCTTTAAGAATTTGTTTGCTGTTGTTGTTGGGTAGAGTATTCTGTGTATGCCTCTTAGATCCACCTGGTTTATAGTGTTGTTCAAGTCCTCCATTTTCTTACGTATGTTCTGTTTGTTATATATTTCTTATTGAATGTGGGGTGTTGAAGTCTCCAATTATTATTATTGTAGAATTGCATATTTATCTTTTCAGTTCTGTCAACTTTTCTTTCATCTATTTTGAGGATCTGTTACTAGGTGTGTAAAATGCTATTGCTTTTCAATGGCCAACGTTCACTTAGATTAACTCCTATATTTATCAGTCTCAGTGCTTTAATTATTCTTGCATTCTGGAATATCCATCTGTTGTCACTTCCCTTCTTTTTATAAGAAATTCCTTTAGTGATGTAGAATAATATGATTATGGCAAAATTTTCCTAGTCTTGTTTATCTGAGAGTATATTTGCCATCCTTTTATTGAATCATTGATATTTTTATCTCTGTGTTTCTTTGTAAGAGTCTTTTAAACTTTTACTTGGAAATAATTATAGGTTTGCAGAAAGTTTCACAGATAATACAGTTTCCTCATACCCTTCACTCAATTTCCCTAATAGATGTATCTTACATAACTGTAGCACAATGTCAAAGTTTGGATTTTGACAATGGCATAATATGGTTTGTATAGTTTTGTCATTTTATCATGTGTAGATTTGTGTAACCACCACAGAAATTAAAATACAGAAATACTCCATCATCACAGAGATCTCCCACACCACAGAGATCTCCCTCACCACAGAGATCTCCTTCATCACAGAGATCTCCCTCATGCAACCCCTTACTGTCACCTTCCTACCCCCATGATTCCTATCCCTTGAAAGCTCAAATTTCTTCTTCATTTGTATACTTTTTTGGGGTTTTTTTTTTTTTTAGAATCTTCTAAATTAAACTATTTACATTTAATGTAATTACTGATATTTTAGAGTTTAAGTCTTCTTTTTTTGTTTTGTGTCTATTCTTTGTTTCTTACATCTATGTTTTTCTTTCTCCTGTTTCACTGTGGGCTACTTCATTTTTTTTTTTTTGAATTCCATTTTTTTGTTATCTCTAGTGTTATTGGGTATATCTCTCTGTATAGCTTTTTGGGAGTCCTTTAGGTATTAAATTATACACACGTAACAGCATATTCTGCTGGTATCAATATTTTACCAGTTCAGTTAAAGTATAGAAATTATATCCCCTTTTGTGTCTCTTTCCCTCTCCATTTATAATATAATGGTCTTGGCCGGGCGCAGTGGCTCACGCCTGTAATCCCAACACTTTGGGAGGCCAAGGCGGATCACCAGGTCAGGAGGTCGAGACCATCCTGGCTAACACAGTGAAACCCCGTCTCTACTAAAAAATACAAAAAATTAGCTGGGCGTAGTGGCAGGCACCTGCAGTCCCAGCTACTCGGGAGGCTGAGGCAGGGGAATGGCGTGAACCCAGGAGGCAGAGCTTGCAGTGAGCCGATATCGTGCCACTGCCTCCAGCCTGGGTGACAGAAGGAGACTCTGTTTCAAAAATAATAATAATAATAATAATATAATGGTCTTAAATATTTTTTCTACATACATCGAGAATCACATCAGACATTATTATAATTTTTACTTCAATAGTCAAACATAATTTGGAAATTCAAGAGTAGAAGGAAAACCTGTATTTACCCAAAGTTTTGCTCTTTTTATTGTTTCTACTTTCTTCTTGATGTTCCACTTTATTCCTGAAGAATATTTGTGCTGGATATAGAATTCTAGACTGATAGTTATTTTCTTACAGCACTCCAGAAATGAGATTGACACTTACACTGGCTATGTAGCCATTTTGGGTTTTTAGCTTGTGGACGAAAATTTCTCTCTTTGAACTTTTCACCTTGGACAGGTCCAGTACTACTACATTTTCCTCGTAATAGCATCCCTAATTTCATAAAATACCTTATATCTTAGTTTGTTTTCCATTTTTTGCTTAATAAAAGGAGTACTGAGGGATACAGATTTTTATCTGTGTCAACTTTAGTTGTTTCTCATTTTGTATTATATAGTGTGGATCAGTCCAAGATGAATTTAAAGAAAGATATGATGATGTATTCTTAATAATTTTTAAAAAGTTAGGTGATATACAAACTTATGCAGAAGAAACTTATAGTAAATAATCTTATAAAAGGTATTTTGGAACTACTTTCAAAGCGTATTTTAGTGGACTGATTAGTAGAATGCTCTCTCTTAAGTTTATAAAGCCCTGGAAATTCTTCTGGTATGAGAAATGAAAACTCAACTAAGTTTTACAGATCTTCATTGATGCTTGACTTCTCTCAAAAAGGAAATGGTATAATAAAATGGAATGGGTTTATTTTGTACCAGCCATCATCTTAAAATCAGGAAGTAGTTAATTGTGAAACTGAAATATTGGCGAAACAGAAGAGTTTCCATTTTTGATGATTTGCTCTATTGGCACATATCATCTAAGAGCGGCTACATCCCAACAGTGGGAAAGTGCTAAGTAAAAACAATGATAAGAATGACCTAGGCCGGGCGCGGTGGCTCACAACTGTAATCCCAGCACTTTGGGAGGCCGAGGCGGGTGGATCACCTGAGGTCAGGAGCTCCAGACCAGCCTCAACGTGGAGAAACCCCGTCTCTACTAAAAATACAAAATTAGCTGGGCGTGGTGGTGCATGCCTGTAATCCCAGCTACTCGGGAGGCTGAGGCAGGAGAATTGCTTGAACCTGGGAGGCGGAGGTTGTGGTGAGCTGAGATCCCACCATTGCACTCCAGCCTGGGCAACAAGAGCAAACTCTGTCTCAAAAAAAAAAAAAAAAAAAGAATGACCTAGTGATCTCACTTGAAAAAAGTGTAGTGGTCTCATCCTATAAAGGTTTTTTTGTTTTGTTTTGTTTTGTTTGAGACAGAGCCTCCATCTGTAGCCCAGGCTGGAGTGCAGTGCCATCTCGGCTCACTGCAAGCTCCACCTCCTGGGTTCACACCATTCTGCTGCCTCAGCCTCCCGAGTAGCTGGGACTACAGGTGCCCGCCACCAAGCCCGGCTAATTTTTTTTTTTTTTTTTTTTTTTTTTGTATGTTTAGTAGAGATGGGGTTTCACTGTGTTAGCCAGGATGGTCTCTTATCTTCTGACCTGGTGATCTGCCCACCTTGTCCTCCCAGATTGCTGGGATTACAGGCGTGAGCCACCGTGCCCGGCCCTAAGAAGTATTTTTAAAACATCCTACTTTTCATTTCTGAAAAAAAATAAATAAAAAGCAGTTGACTTTAAACTCTTTAAAAACAGAAGAATCTGGGTATTTGTTTCTATTATTTGATATAAGGCAGAATCTTTTAGAAGGATTTAAACACTTTACTAAAGTCAGGAACAAACATGTAGGGAAAAACACAACAGTATTTTTGGAGGATTAGATTTTATGTCATCCACAGAATGAAGATACTGCTGTGGAAAACTGGCTGATCAATATGAGCTCCACTGAACTTTTGTTTTTGTTAACAATGTACCTCAGTAAGTATTTAGTTAATATATCCAACACATGCCCTTGAAGCTATTCATCCAAATGTCCAGTAACAGATAACTCAGAAGACAGTTATATAACACAGAAGAGAATAATCAAATTTAGCTATGATGAGTATATCTGAAGAATATTAAATTCTATGTTCTAATTTTAAATATTATCAGTGAGAATAGTGTAAATAAACTTTATAGGAAAGTGAATAAATACATGAAAAACATTTGTATCCTATATAACAATAAATTGCCATTTACAGCTCCTACAAGTCAGTACTAAAACTACAAATATTCATGTAGAAAAATATTCAAATGATATGAACATGAAAAAAATCAGAAAATGTCACTTAAAAATGTTTCTTTTTTATTTTATAAACTTGTTTTTAATATCTTTTCCCTATTTCTTTTGCATTTTCATCCAGCTTCTTGGGTTCAATGCTCAGTTTATTTGTTTCTGATTTCTCTAGTTACATAATAAATGCACTTAAGATTATGTTTGAATAATTATCATAACAGAAGGTTGACTAATTAGCAGCATTTATCTTAATTGCAAAGGTTAGAATGATCTAAGTGCAGGACAGTTCTCTGGGTGGCCTTGGACCAACCCAGTTCTCTCTCCTGTCTCTTGTAGTTCTCAAGAATAACTGTAGAATGTACTGGGAATGCAACATCCTGAGAGAAGAAAGGAATGGCTAGAACAGCCCAGGCCCTGTTCCAGTTCCTTGGAAACAGAATGTCTTTCAATGTTTTGTCCAGGGGGTAACTTCACCTTGGAGTATAAAACCCAGGGTGGGCTGCTTTTGCGGGTCCCTAGCTGAGGTACAAGTGTGGCATGCACTGACAGGACTACACCTCCCCCGAGCAGTTTTCCCCAGCCTTGGAGGACTAGCTTGCCATGAATCCCAGGTGCTGCCTATCTGTAAGTAACAAATCCACGTACGTGACTTTTGTGTGTTTGTGTTCCATCTCAGCAGACTCAGCCAAGTTGGTAACCAGTGTCATACTAAGTATGTACTGTATATATAAATGCACAGATATTTTGATGTTTAACATTCCAGGATCTTTCTTTTAAATGAGTTCTTAATTGTGTATCCCAGATCCAAGCTCTTCTCCTGACAAGCCTCTGGCATAGCAGTGAGGTTTGCTCTGTAAGCTGTGGAAGCCTCAGCTGGACACTGTACCCAAGCTTGCTAGGTATCCACTGTTTCAGCAGTGCTGAGAAAGAAAAGACCCCAAGCCCTCAAGGAGGTCTTTTCATAACATAGCACAGTCTGCTTTTTGCATAATTAAATCATTTCTTAACTTACCAATTGACAGAAAATCACTACCAATACCATTCTATTCAACTTACATATTCCACCAAACCAGACATGGTTGAACATCAACAGGGAGCCACCCAGAGTGATTTGAGAAAAAAGCCAAAACCAAATCCAAAAGATCTTTACACTATTTAATTGTAACTGTGCTGAGTTAAATTATTAGAATAAGAAATTTTATAAGTTTATTTTAAAATTTTTATTTATTTATTTATTGAGATGGCGTTTCACTCTTGTTGCCCAGGCTAGAGTACAATGGCGCGATCTCGGCTCACTGCAACCTCTGCCTCCTGGGTTCAAGTGATTCCCCTGCCTCAGCCTCCGAAGTAGCTTGGATTATAGGTATGTGCCACCACGGCCGGCTAATTTTTGTATTTTTAGTAGAGGTGGGGTTTCGCCATGTTCACCAGGCTGGTCTCGAACTCCTGACCTCAGGTGATCCACCCGCCTTGGCTTTCTGAAGTGCTGGGATTACAGGTGTGAGCCATCACGCCCAGCCAACAGTTTATTTGAATCATGAGAATTTGTATTGGTTTTTATAAACTAGTTTCTTTCATCTCAGATTCCCTGAAGTATAATGGGGTGTATAAATAACAGTAAAAATAATAGTAATAACAATTACTTCTCTAGGCTGCCAGCAGAAAACACCTGAAATGTTTTTCTTTTTTACATATCATTTTTGAAAATGTTACAGGAAGAAAAGTTAAAATGATCCTATCACTAAAAAGTAGTTTAATTTTTCTTTGTGAATCTAGTGTGAGGAGAGTCCACTCAGGTATTAAGGTGTTCACATCCTGATTGTCCTTAACCTCCTCTTCCCTCTCCCCATTCTTAAGTGGGAAAAAGAATTTAAAGAAAAATTCAGGCCACTGAGAAGAAAAAAGCTTGGCACCCCAGAGGGGCCAGTGTAGGTTTCAGGGTTTCAGGTCTATGAAAATTTCTCCAGATTTCTTCAGATGACAAGGAGAAAGGGCTTTGCAGAGAGAAGTGGCCCCAGGATCTGTGCTCCATGCAGTTAGACGGGCTTTGCCAGAGGAAGCCCAGAGAGGCTGGACGCTATGCCTGGAACAGAGTGGGAGTGTGTGGTTACTGGGGTGGTTCTGCCCCATCTCCTGGCAGAGTGCTCAGCTGCCCAGAGTGGAGCGCCCGAGGGAGACCGGTCAGCAATAGTGACCATCCCCCCAATGCTTGGCGCACCTGGTTCCTCTTGTCAGGCTGGGGAATGAGTGCTCAGGATGCCCAGTCATGGTTAGAAGTCGGCGGTGCTCGGCCGGGCGCGGCGGCTCACGCTGTAATCCCAGCACTTTGGGAGGCCGAGGCGGGCAGATCACGAAGTCAGGAGATCGAGACCATCCTGGGTAACATGGTGAAACCCCGCCTCTACTAAAAATACAAGAAATTAGCGGGGCGAGGTGGTGGGCGCCTGTAGTCCCAGCTACTCGGGAGGCTGAGGCAGGAGAATGGCATGAACCCGGGAGGCGGAGCTTGCAGTGAGCTGAGATCGCGCCACTGCACTCCTGCCCGGGCGACAGAGCGACACTCCGTCTCAAAAAAAAAAAAAAAAAAAAAAAGTCTGCCGTGCTCAAAGCAGGCTTATTCTCATCTAGAAGATAAAGAAATATGGGCCCTGTTACCCCAGGCAGCTGCTGAATTGGAATGGAGGCAGCAGGCACTGAACATCTGCCCTGTTTCATCCTTGAGTGGATAGAAATGGCCTCTTATTCTGACTCTTTCCCTACACATTTGTGGTAACACAAGACTTTTAAAACAAAACAACTGACTTAATTCCTCCAACCCTGAATCACGGCAGTTAATTTCATTTTTCTATACTTAAAAAATGTTTTCTGGCCAGGCGTGGTGTCTCACGCCTGTAATCCCAGCACTTTGGGAGGCCGAGGCGGGCGGATCACCTGAGGTCAGGAGTTCCTCAGACCAGCCTGGCCAACATGGTGAAACCCTGTTTCTACGAAAAAAAAAAAAAAAAAAAAATTAGCCGGGTGTGGTAGCGGGTGCCTGTAATCCCAGCTACTGGGGAGGCTGAGGCAGGAGAATTGCTTGACCCCAGGAGGCAGAGGTTGCAGTGAGCCAAGATCGCACCTCTGCAGTCCAGCCTGAGGGACAGGACAAGACTCCATCTCAAAAAAAAAAAAATTTTTCTTTAAAACATGAATATAAATGAGTCAGACTCCAGTAAGAACCACAATGTGGCTTCCAAGACAGAATAAGAGAAACAAACAACTGCAAGTCATTTCTCAGTAATGGGGACTGGTGACTGCTGCCTGAGGGCCTGTGAATGGCTGTGGCATTTGGGGTCCTGCCCTGGTGTCTCCCTGCTGCTTCCTCCAGGCTGAAGTGGCGCTTCTACTAGAAAGGTGTCTGCAGCCTTGATAAAGCATTGCACCTTGGCACAGATCAGCGTGAGGACCCAAACAACCTAGCGTTGACAGTTTAAGCCAAAGCAAGCCCCATTCTTTGCTGATAGTTTTTCTAGCAATTGCCTAAGTGGCAGTTGGAAAGAACTTATTGGGAATGTAGCTACAGACACTCTCCCTTCTGGCCTCCCTTGATCTCCTTTCATCCTTTTATGGTAACGCCTAAGGAAAAAATATAACTTCCATCTAATACAAGATGGAAAAAAAAATAGATGTGCATAGATTCCTTCTAACTGAAGGAAATCATTCAGTGAATTATATACATTTCTCTCTATATATATATATATTTGTACACACATGTATATATAACCTATTCTCTATCATTTATCTTTCTATCGTTTATCATATATATGCAAATTTCAGTTTAAAAATTGTTCATTAAGTGATACAATCAACTATATGCAAGACATATAAAATCTTAAGACTGTATACATAGGTATAGTGTTTATTTCTTACACAACAATTGTTTATTACACTATTGACCAATGTGACCATACTTAAAATTCTTGCTTTACAAGAATTAAATCTTTAGTTTAAATTGAGGTAGTAATTTCAAATTTAAGATAACAGTGAGAATGGGGCTGTAACTTCTCTAATAAAAATATGTAGCAGTACATACGTGACTATTAGTCAAAAGATGGCACAGGCAGGGAAGAGGGCACACTTCACCAGGCAGTGCGGCCTAAAGGCAGAAATATTTTGCAAATGGAACTGAAGCTGGACAATGTCATATTTGGCCTCTGATTTGTTGGCTGAAGCTTCACAGTATAATAAGCCTCCTTTGGATGAGAGTGGGCTAAGCCTGGAAGACTCCAATCCTACACATTCTACAAATGTGTGCAGAAAATATCTTCATTTGCTGTCAGCACAGAGCTGGTGCTGTGAGGGTGGAGGACGTGATGTGGGGAAATGCAAGGAAAGCCCACTCCTTTGTGGTCCTGGTGTGGGGAGGGTGGCCCTCGCCCCATTCATGTTTCAGGTTCCGGGAAAGACTGGCCTCCTGAAGCAGCCCCCACGCCAACTCAGGCTCAGCCAAGGCCCTTAGGTGGTATAGCACAGCCAACAAGTGAGAGGCCCTGAGGTGCGGGGCCTGAGCTTCTCTTGGCTCCTGGACGTATATGGGATCAAGAGGGGTAAACCTGGCAGAGACGAAGAGGCTGAAGAGTGGCCCAGCTGGGCCAGACCCAAACTGGAGGTGCAGCCAGATATGAGATGTAGGGCCAGGGTGCACCTGGGTAGGGCTGCACCAGCCAGGAAGGCTGCTGAGTTTTTGGGCCAGAGTGAAATAAATCAGGAGCAACACCCAGCCTTGACCTAGCTGAGAACGTCAGCAAGGCAAGAAGAAATGACATGGGGAGGTCCTTTGTCCCGGACATGGCAACCCAGGATCCTGACTCTCTCCCTTGGCTTGAAGGTCCCATGAGCCCCACTGCTTTTCATGAAGATTGTATGTGAAACACCCAGGGTGGGGGTGCCCTCACACCTCAGGGCCTTTGCACCTATTATGTCTTCTGCCCTGTAGGAATGTGTTCCCCACATAGCCCAGATGGCCAGCTTACTGCATTCACATCTCTGCTCCCAGTCACCACCACATCAGTGTGGCTTCCCCGACCACCTCTTCTAGAATGATTCTCCCTGCACTACTTTCACTATAGCCCCTGGTCCCATGTTTCTTTTTAACACCTATCACCATATGACACATGTATTTGTTTATTTTCTTTCTTCAACTCCCTACTAAAATATGAGCTGTGTAAAGACAAAGAGTTTGACATTTTCTTCCCAATAGTGTCCCCAGTGCCTAGGAACAGAGTGCACACACACACACACACACACACACATACACACACACACATTTGCTATTGGCGAGCTATGATGCCTTTCTGATGCCATCTTGACTAGTCACAGCGAGGCTGGGTAACCTAGAACATTGGCAGACTGGCCTTTTTCCTACAGGATACTGAGAGTTAACTGAGAAACCAGTGTAAATTATGAGTTTAATGTTTTCAATCTTAATAGATAATTTTCCCTTATAATCAGCAGGGGCAGCTCTGAAAAAATTAAAAATAAATAAAAATAAAAAAATCAGTGTAGTTAATAAAGAGTTGCGCCATGTTCTCTTTGCATACAAGAGCTGCTGTGTGAAAGATCCTGCCTCAGGTGACCACTGAGTTCCTTCTCCTTTTGAGAGACCCTCCCGGCACGCAGTAAGTGCCAGCATATTCTCACGTCTTTGAATTTCATGATTTGGGCTGGGACTCGCTGGCCACATCATTGGTCTAAAGTTCTCCAAGAACCCAGGGTGAGCATGCCACAGGGAGAAAACATTCTTGTCACCTTAAATACAAAGAACATATTTAAAGTAATTGCTAATGATTCAATATTTGCAATACATGTGTGGGCAGTTATGAAACTTTCTTTAACGCCTAGGCAGATCTAAATGCCTTATCAATTTGGAGGCGCTGTTTCCTTCGTGGTTAACAATTTAAGGTGTTTCGCTGTGATTTCTGACTTGAATGTTCCTTTATTAGAGGACGTTGTCCCACTAACATACATCTCCTCTGGAGGCTGGGCTAATCAGTCTTCAGTCTAAGAGCTTTCCTTCACTACTGCTAATTAAGGATTTTTCTATGATGAATACATAATTCTAAAAAAATATGATTTCCTGATACAAACTACATATGCTTGAAATAAAACTCCGAAGTCAAGTTGCACAGGCTTATCAAACAACTCTCTGAGCACAGAAATACAGAGTAAAAGTTAAAACACGTCTCTACAAAATTATAAACACTGAATATCAACAAATCAAATGACTTATTGAACTTACTTTGCAAAAATTCAGATAAAAATGCATTTATACTAATCAAATTCCAATTTCTGCACTATGTAGGCTACCTTTGTAATAATTACATAAGAACCCTTATAATATAGATCTTTTTTCTTCAATAAAAAATCAACTTTGGGATTATTCTGTAAAAGCAGAAGGAGAATTTGGAAAAATTAAGCCTTCTAAGACCTCCCAGATGAACTCTAGCCAGAGCCCCAGGAGGACTTAGTGATGCCCTCTCACGCTTGGAGGCTGGAGGGAGGGCGGGAGTCAGTTCCCCTTGAGTTCCTATGGAATCTTCAGTCTGTTCTGCTAGACTGATAGACCAAGCTTCTCAGACACCCAGACTGAAGGGGATAATGATCTAGCACCTCGGAGTGTAGACACACAGCCCTTCTCTCCAGGTTTACTGACAGCAGCTCCAGGGCCTCAAGTTCAGGCTCTCCTGCTTTTCTGCCCCTAAATATGAACTCAAAGAGACTGAAAAAGCAGAAGACCACGGGAAATCCTGCAAGGTTTCTGGCACCTTAGCGACTCACGGATGAAGCCATTGGGCCTTTCCAAAACTATCATTTTTTGAGAAGACAAGCATGAGACATCCTCTGCCGAGGGGAGGAAAGGGACAGGGACAGATATGGATAATTGGGAAAGTTTGATAAATCTGTAATTTTCTGCCTCATAGGCATAAGATTCTTTTGGGGGTTTACTCACTACATGATACCTGTCACTAGGAAGTTTGTAGATTGCATCTCTGTTGAAAATCCTTTGTGTGTGTGTGTGTGTGTGTGTGTGTGTGTGTGTGCGCGCGTAGCTATATATGCAGAGAGCCACACGTCTTAGAATTTGGCCCCCCAGCCTCCTCTTCCCACCACAGAGCAACATCTGTGGTGCCAATGAGCCCATCAGGCCATGCCTCTGCTTGGCACAACTGCCCTCCACGGGAGTCTGCCTCTTCCTTTTTTTTTTTTTCTTATAGATATGTGTTCTTTTCAATAATTGAGATGAAATTGTGTAAACAGATTGGCGTTATGCATGTTTTTTCAGATGACATTATATAGTGAAAATATTCCCCATGTCATAAAGATTACTTGAAATATCATTTGCACAGCTCCAATATTTCATAACATGGATTCACCATTATTTATTTAATCCCTTATCTGTTCTTGAATGCTTGATTGGTTTTAACATTGCTCCATTTTCTTTGGATTTTTAAACAATGCCTTTTCCTGGGTGATGATAGCCATTGCAAAAGCTGGTTTCATAATTGTTGGATGTTTTTCATTCTTGGATCCTGGATATCAAATAAAATCTTTAGAGATAATATCTGAGCCTGCTATGGTTTACTGTCTTTTAAAACTTTACCCTTATTTGGGGATTAAATAATGTGTGTGTTCTATCACAGACACCTATTCTAAAATTGTCTATCAGTAAGATGGACTGCATTGCCTTTTCCTTTTCCATAGAGTATTGAATTTAATTGGGTTATAATTCCTGCTATCTAGTAGCTCACCAACAATGGAGCTGTCAGAGCTTACTCATATACTCCATGGGAAGTTTATGTGTCTGAGGCAAATGCTGGCAGGTGAAGCAGGCATTCCATGAAACCAGGCCTGGGTGGAAAGGAGGCACTCTTGTGTGCAGAGTCTGGTGCCGCTGGGCCCACACACCTGGGAGCACTCCCTGGCTGCCCACACCCTGTTCCTTTCAAGAATTTGGGTTGTGTTTTCTTCTTTCTTGACAATTAGTATAAGGGCAGTAGCTAAGAGTTTGGATTTATTTTTTTTTTTGATGGAGTTTTGCTCTTGTTGCCCAGGCTGGATGGAGCATGATCTTGGCTCACTGCAACCTCCACCTCCTAGGTTCAAGCAATTCTCCTGCCTCAGCCTCCCGAGTAGCTGGGATAACAGGCATGTGTCACCACGCCTGGCTAATTTTGTATTTTTAGTGGAGACGAGGTTTCACTATGTTGGCCAGGATGGTCTCGAACTCCTGACTTCAGGTGATCCACCCACTTCGGCCTTCCAAAGTGCTCGGATTACAGGCATGAGCCACCATACCCGGCCAAAAGTTTGAATTTTGATTCAGTCATGACTTTGCCACTTAATCTGAGTCTCCAGGTAGGTCATGTCCCGCAATTTTCTCATCTGCAGGCTGGGAATAATGACAGGCTATATTCCAATAAGTTTTCATTGAAGGTTAAATAATATGACAGAGATCTGGCATATGTAAATCCTCAATAAGTGGCAGCCATTTTTGTTTTTATTGCTTTCGTTATTCATTGAGTTTCAGATACTGAAATTAACAATGCGTATTATCCACCTGTTCCTCTGCTGCTTGGATTCCAGACCAAATTTGCCACCTTTTTTGTAACTTCTAAGATTCACTTTGTACTCTTCTGTTTTCTTTTATTTACTCAATAAGTATTTATTGTGAATCTACTGTGTGCTAGTCACCAGTTTAATAATACTCTGTTCCCATCTCTTTGCCTAGTGCACATATATAAGGAATTCTATGAAACTATAACCATACTGACAGATTTCTTGTATAGTCCAGATGATGATCCCACCATTTTAAAAGTACACTTCAAAATGCTCAAAGAGTAAGCTTCAAATGTCTCACCACAGAAAATAAGTGACATTATGAATACGTAAATTGACTTGATTTAACATTCCACATCATGTACATATATCAGAACTTCACTTTGTACCCAATACATGTGTACAATGATGATTTTTCAATTAAAAATCATATTAATGAAAAAGTTGCATGACAGTGGAAAAAATGTTTTGAAGGATAGAGGTTTGCTTATGATCACATGATTCTGAGCAAATTAATCTGAAGCTTTTTTCACAATATAACTTTATTATGTAGAGTTGTTATAGAAATTAAACAACAATATAGAAATCAAAAAAATTTTGTTAGTTCCTTTCTTTTACTCCTCAGATCAGTATGGTTAGGGTGTTCGCAAACTCTGTGTACATTGTGCTGTGGGTTAGCCACTTTAGAAACAGAGGGAGACAGTGAGGCCGGTGGAGCTTGGGAGAGCTAAATAGAGTCTGAGATGGAGAGATTGCATACACCAGTGTGTATTTGAAATAAAATGTAGTGAAAATTAATAAGCTTGAAATTACCTAGCTTAGGCTGTTAAACAAAACATTTTAATAAAGAAAACTAAGTCATTTAGGTTTCCAGAGAATAGTAACTGTCACTAATAAAATTAATGTTTATTTAGGAGAAACTTGTATCAGTTTCTGCAATTGAATCAATCAACATCCAATGAGGAAACAGAAACCACATAGTAATTTGGAAAGGAAAATCAATATAAATAATATTAAATGTTATATGGGGTTAACAATAAAGGGGTACCTGAAGAAAATATTTGGGCTCTGGGAGAGTCCCCAAGGAAGAAACAAACTTGAAAAGGGGCCCCACTCCCCAAGACTGGGCCTCTGACTCATTGGAGGTGTGGTTGCAGCTCACCAGCTTGAGAGGAGGTTCTCTGGGTTGCCCCAGGCAGAAGCTGGTAGGAGGTGACATGGGGCTGGAACAGGCCAGCTGGGAGCTCCTTCTGGGGTGCAGGTGGGCACACAAGCACCACGTAAGGAGGGCACGCAGGAGCACCCTCCAGGGAACAGGCAGGCTGAGGATGAGGAAGGATGAATGTCAAAGCAAGGCAGCTTTGGGTCTAACTCTGAGCTCAGAACTGTGGCCAAGGTTTGTTTTCTGGGTCAGTTCTGGATGAATAGCTTGATGGGATCCTGCCACATATCAAATTTAGCTACCCAACCATCTGAAATGAAACAGTAGAGGAAAAACAGGATAATGAAAATTCTTATTTAGCAATGTATAAAGAACATGCAACTTAGCTCAGCATGTGTATCATGCTTTATTTGGGCCAGGGATCGCTAAGAATATTCATTTTTAAACTTATTTTTTTGGCAGAGAAATGTTTCTGGCTCAGCAAATATAATTACAATAAGGTTTGAATTCCTGTTTGCCAGGATTGGAAAACGATACAATTTCTAAAGCTCTAATCAGTTGTCTATCCATTTTATCTCGGGAACAGAGCTCTATTAGCTATTCTATTAGTTAGCTATTCTCACAAATATGCTGCATAACAAACCACCCCCAAACTCAATGGCTTATGGCAACAACCATTGATTTCTTGCTCGCACATCAGCAGGTTGCTTGGAGTTAAGCTGATTAAGTCAGGGCTGGGCTTGGCTCCAGGCTGCAGGTGGGTTTCAAGTCAGCTTCATGTAGCTGTTCCCGTGCCGTGCTGCTTAGCATGTGCTCTCCTTGGGGCAATGGCAGAAGCACAAGGGACAGGCATTTCATGAGCATTTCAAGCCCCTGCTTGGGTGAAGTCTGTTAATGCTCATTGGCCAACATCAATGGGGAGAGAAGTATGCTTCTGTCATGGAGGTTAAAGAGAATAGAGTGAATCTTTGATAGACCATAATCCAATCTCCCACAGCAAGGAGAGTATACAAACCACATCTTAAGTCTGGATCGGCCTGGGATTTTTCTGCCCCTTGACAGCAGCAGCTGCCTTGCCCTTTGCCCAAGGGAGTCCACTCTGCTGCTTCCTGAGTGTCCTCATTCCTGGTCACTGCACGATTGTCCTTAAATGGTGTTAGCTATTTGGACATGGGCTAAATGCTACTCCCCATGCATGTTTGCTCACCTGTTCCATTTCTGTGTCTACGCAGGTTGGCTGAGCCTGTGGCTTCTCTCTAGAGCTTCCACTGCATCTTACTGAATTTCTTAGGAAGTAGTTGACACAATTGACTACACTGATTTCTGCAAGGTCCCCTAAATCATTTCAGAATGCATGGGGATTGACTCCCAAGAGACAAAAGGGAAGAACTTAATGCACAGTGCACTAAGCAGCAAAGTAGTTTTGCCTCCTTGAGCCTATTCAAGGTTCTCTGTCACACCTTGAATCAGCCAAGATCAAATTTTAGTGTTCGTCACTTGTAAATGTAGTAGACACAAAACCTGGAATTGTGTCTTTATTTGGAAATAGGGTCTTTGTAGATGTAATGAAGTTAAGATGAAGTCATATCGGATTAGGGTGGACCCCAAATGAAATGATTGGTGTCCTTACAAGGAGAGGGAGATTTGGAGACACAGAAAGACAGAGAGACACGGAGAGGGTGGAAGGCCATGCAGTGATGAAGGGAGAGATTGGAGTGATGCAGCTGTGAGCCGAGAATTGCTGGCAACCACCTGAAGCCAGGAAGACGCAGGAAGGATTCCCCGCTGGAGCCTTCAGGGGGAGCATGGCCCTGCTGTCACCTGACTTCAGGCTTTGATCTTCTGGAATTGTGAGCCAATAAATTTCTGTTTACATGCCACCTAGTTTATGATAATATGTTGTGGCAACTCTGGGAAAACATAACACAACACCTCCGATGTCTATTTTAGTCAGAATTCTTTGGTTGCAATTAGCAAATACTAAGAAAAAAAGTGGATTGATCTTAGGTCATTTGAAACTGGCTTTAATGTGTGAAGTTAGGAACATGGGTGCTGTTGGGACTCTCTTATCTTTCATTTATGATTCTCTCTTGTGCTGGCTTTATTCTCCCAGGTCAGCTTCTTCATAAGGCTGATGCCATAGCAGCTGAAGTGTTGAGGCTTTTTGATGAGAGAAAAAAGGCTTTTCTGTGTAATTCTAAGATTAAGTCCCAGGTAAGGGTTCTAGTTCGCCCCTGCTCATCTGGATGGACCACTGAGGTTTGGTGGACAGGCTGTATTGGTGGTCCACCTAGCATCAGTCCTCTGACTGTTGAACAGTGACAAAGGCCATGAAAGAGAAAGGGACAAGGAGTGTAACAAGAACAAGTGCTAACAGGATCATGGAAACTGTTCGGCCACTGCTGTTCATCCACCACCACACTGATGGACTGAAGCAAGAAACCAGAAATCAATGGAAAATATAACAAGAAAGGTTATTTAGAAATTGGTTTCAGAAGAGGGAGGTCATGTGGGTTGAATAGTGTCCCTCCAAAGCTCCTGTTCAGCTGGAAGCTCAGCTTGGGACCTTATTGAGAAATAGGGTTTTTGCCAGAAAAATCAAGTTAAGATGAGCTCATCCTGGATCAGTGTGGGCCCTCCTGCAATCACTCCTGTCTTCATAGGAAGAGACACAGAGATACAAAGGGAAAAGCATGATGGACCACAGCTCAGAGACTGCACTAGTGCAGCTGTAGGCCAAGGATTGCTGGGAAGCACCAGGAGAGAGGCAGGGAACAGAGCCACCCTCCGAACCTCCAGGAAGAAGCCAGCACTGCCAAAGCCTTGATTTTGGACTTCTGGCTCTAGAACTTGTGAGTTAATACATTTTTGTTGTCTGGGGCCTCCAGTTTGTGGTACTTTGGCGGCACCAGCATGCTAAAACAGATGTGGGACTCAATCCTACCTTAAGTACTATTGAACTGCAAAATGAAAGCTTTAGAAAACACAAGAGAGCTGAAATTATTTAATAAGAAGTGTAGTTATATGTATCACTAGAGGAAAACATCCTTTCTTTTCTAAAAGAAAAATTAGATTTCTTATTGAAGCAGGGAGAAGATTTGCCTACAATTCTCATTATGATTAAAGATACCAATTTATCATTGATAATACTGATTATAAAACAGAATTACATTAGGGGATGAGAGTCTGAATACCACCAGGACATTAAATAAAATATTTGAGGAATGAGGTAATTGTCCCAGACTTGTTGGATTCAATCAAGGGTTTTAAGGCTGCTCTATTGCATTTCCTTTTACCATAATATCATATATACACTACCATAGGGAGAGACGCAGCGTAGCTTACATAATGAAATGACTTTACAGCTAATTTGATTCTGCATTTGAAAACCAAACAATTCTCAACATTTATGCTTGTTCATCTTCAGCACAGTTGTTGCGTGACTAAGTTACTTATGAGGAGGTCCGGAGTTCACGTTTAGGACAAGTTCTACTAATTCTGGTTCATACAAAACTTTCCAACCTCTGAGCTTTGTTTGTTTGTTGTTTACTTTGTGTTTGTTTTATCTTTAAAAACTGTAACTTTTTTTTTTTTTTTTTTGAGACGGAGTCTCGCTCTGTCGCCCAGGCCGGACTGCGGACTGCAGTGGCGCAATCTCGGTTCACTGCAAGCTCCGCTTCCCGGGTTCACGCCATTCTCCTGCCTCAGCCTCCCGAGTAGCTGGGACTACAGGCGCCCGCCACCGCGCCCGGCTAATTTTTTGTATTTTTAGTAGAGACGGGGTTTCACCTTGTTAGCCAGGATGGTCTCGATCTCCTGACCTCATGATCCACCCGCCTCGGCCTCCCAAAGTGCTGGGATTACAGGCGTGAGCCACCGTGCCCGGCCAAAACTGTAACTTTTATACTATCTTTCATACTATCATGAAACAAGCAGAGCCTTGATTTACGTTTTGCATTATGCATGATTAACTCAATCTACTTTTGATAGTCCCCACTTTGGGAAGGTGAGGGTGCATAGTCCATACGTCCCCACTTGCTCTTTCCCCTCATAATGGTGACTTTTATCTGTTAACCTGACTGGGCTACGGAATGCCCACACAGCTGGCCAAACACTCTTTCTGGGTGTGTCTGTGAGTGTGATTTGGAAGAGATGAGCATTTGAATTGGTGGACTCGGTAAAGAAGATCACCCTCACGAATGTGGGCAGATATCATCTGAACCACTGAGGGCCCAAGTAGAACAAAAAGGCGGAGAAAGGGGAATCCCTTGTTGGTATTTGGCCTGGGACATCTCTCTTCTCCTGCCCTCTGACAGCAGTGCTCTAATTCTCAGGCCTTTGGACTCAGATTTAATTGCACTGTGGGCTTTCCTGATTTTCCAGCTTTCAGTTGGCAGATTATGGAACTTCGCAGCCTCCAGAATCCCGTGAACTGATTCCTGTATATATACATATGTACACATACAAATATTTGTGTATTTATCTCTGGGACCCGATATACATCTATATCTCCTCTATTGGGTCCCTTTCTTTAGAGAACCCTAATACACTCCTATATTGATGGTCTGACACCTGTCACACATAAGAGGAAATGCTCTTTTGGGATAATTATTCATAATATACAAGTTAGAGAATCATTTATGTTTCTTAGATATTTTCATATGTGTAGAGCTGCTTTATCAATTTGCAGCCCTGGTGGGGAGCCCAGAGCAGAGCCCCGGGCTGGCAGAGCTGGGATCGGGGTACAGATGGGCTTGCAGGAGCCTGGCCACTGGCACCGCTGCTGGGTCTCAGCAGTACCATGCCCTGTTCCCTCAAAGCCACATTGTCTTTTGCAGAGGTTGCCTCCAAAGAAGGTATTTTCTTATGAAGTTTTATGCCTTTGTAAAAGTTGTAAAATATACATGATAGAATTTACCATTATTATTTATTTATTTATTTTGAGACAGAGTCTCTGTCGCCCAGGCTGGAGTGCAGTGGTGCAATCTCAGCTCACTGCAACCTCCACCTCCCGGGTTCACGCCATTCTCCTGCCTCAGCCTCCTGCGTAGCTGGGACTACAGCCACACGCCACCACACCCAGCTAATTTTTGTGTTTTTAGTAGAGACGGGGTTTCACCCTGTTGGCCAGGATGGTCTCCATCTCTTGACCTCGTGATCCACCCGCCTCGGCCTCCCAAAGTGCTGAGATTACAGGCGTGAGCCACCGCGCCTGGCCAGAAATAATTTGTTTCTTTATCACTGAGGACCATCTCAAGTGACAGGGCTCCAAGCTTTTGCTCATGTTCCGCTGCCTTGGAATCCAAGGGCAACTGCGGCCATGGTAGCCTATTTTCATCAAAGTCAAATGGCATCTTGTCGACAGAGGTGAGGGCCTGCAAAGTCCTACTACACTCAGGACAGTCAGTCCCCTGCTACAAAAAAATTATCAGGTACAAAATATCAATAATACTGAGCTAGAGAAACTGAGTTCTAAGTGAAATGGACAAACCTTTAATAGTAGTGACCTGGCCTGAAACTTTAATGTTTCTTTATTGTTTTAAACTTTCATTTGGTTGACTATAGGAGCAGCAAACTGTTTTGCCATTTATTTCTGATGCTTTAACTGTACAATGTTCCCCGAAATGTTTACATTTTAATTCTTGCCAAATTTGTTGTAGCCAACTTTAACCGTGGAATGACATATTTAGTCCCTCAACACTGTCACTTGAATGACACATGGCAATGGGTCAGCCACTTCTTGGAGCAGCACCTGGAGACCAGGGCATTTCCTGTTGCAAACAGTTTCCTACTGACCTTTGTGGGAAAGAAGAAAGAAAACCCAAGCCGGGCACGGTGGCTCACACCTGTAATCCCAGCACTTTGGGAGGCTGAGGTGGGCGGATCACCTGAGGTCAGGAGTTTGAGACCAGCCTGACCAACATGGTGAAACCCCGTCTCTATTAAAATACAAAAATTAACCGGGCGTAGTGGCAGGCGCTTGTAATCTCAGCTACTTGGGAGGCTGAGGCGGAAGAATCGCTTGAAACCAGGAGGCAGAGGTTGTGGTGAGCCGAGATCGCGCCATTGCACTCCAGCCTGGGCGACAAGAGCAAGACTCCATGTCAAAAAAAAAAAAAAAAGAAAAAGAAAAGAAAACCGAGGCTTGGATTTTTAAATCTTCAATTGTGAGTGAAATTTGCATCATTACTCTGTTATAGTTCCACTTACGATTTTTAGAATAAATAAAAACAACATAAAGTGTTTTGAGAAACATAAAAATATTACAGACATATACACAGATGCAGTGATGCAAATGTAAAGATGATAAAGTCCAATCGTCAGAAAAGTCGTAAGTGGAATTAAGGCAGGACACAAGCAAGATTCACTGGTCCCTGAACAGCAGGGAGCGATAGAGGTGTCTGAATACCTTTGGGAGTCCACATCCCCGGGGTGTGGGTGACAGGCAGGCCCTTCATCCCCGGGCAGAGCTGAGCTTGTTCTTGTCACATTTAACCTCAGTCCTCTGATAAAGCCAGAACATACAATGTTTTTATCTGCCCATTCAGAATCATGTAAGTGCAGGTTTTTTTAAGTAATTATGAGGGTGAGTGAGACTTTCACTGTAATGTTTGGTAAGTAATGAGGTGATTCAGTTTTATGTCCATCTTGATTTGAGGAAGAGAGAATGGTGAGGGAAGCATTGGGACAGGTTCATCTGGAACCACAGACACTTAAATGTAGACAAGCCTTTAATGATGCCTGGTCCTCGCTTCCTCCCAAATGCAGGTATGTATTACATCTCTGTTGGCTGTTCCCCTAGAATCAGCTGTAGCTTTTCCAGTGGCCAGGAGCCCTGGTCCCCGTTACCGTTGCGAGGCTGTCTTGCATTATTGGGCACTTTGAATGCTTAAAACTGGGCTTCTGGAAAAAGAGTCAGATTCACCTGGATCTGGATCTGGCAGGTGAATGTCACAGTCTCTAACGACCTCCTAATTCCTGTCTTCTCTCTTTCCTTCCTTTTTTTTTTTTTTTTTTTGAGACGGAGTCTCCCTCTGTCGCCCAGGCTGGAGTGCAGTGGCACGATCTTGGCTCACTGCAAGCTCTGCCTCCCGGGTTCATGCCATTCTCCTGCCTTAGCCTCCCGAGTAGCTGGGAATACAGGTGCCCGCCACCACGCTCGGCTAATTTTTTCATATTTTTAGTAGAGATGGGGTTTCACCATGTTAGCCAGGATGGTCTCCATCTCCTGACTTCGTGATCCACCCACCTCGGCCTCCCAAAGCGCTGGGATTACAGGCGTGAGCCACCACGCCCGGCCTGTCTTTCCTTCTTTTAATCTTTCTACACATGAAAAGGCGTCAGTAGCCCCCACCATCATGTATGTCACCTGGGACACCCTCAGTCTGCCTTTGTTAATGTCAGAGCCAGGAACTCAGGGAAAAAACTATTTTCTGAGATACGTTTTTGTGCAGAGAGAAGAGACTTTCCATGTATATTGCCTTTCCTGTAATATTGTCTGTTCAGGTAGCTGTGTGCCATATCCAGGTAGCTGCATGCCCTCTTCCCTGTTTTAGCACTGGTTGATACTGAGTTTATGGTTAATTAGTAAATGTGTTAAAAAATTTTTTGAATTTTTTTTCAAAAATCAGCAAGCACAAATATGTACCTAGCATTTTCCAAGGATATGGGTATGGAAAGATAAAATGCCAGAACTTACAATTTAATTAGATATTAGTGCAAATGATCGATACACTGCAATGTGGTAACTGTGTAACAGATATTAATTGCACCATCCAAAATTCAGTATGTTAAAAATGGAACTCTTCAGGTTATCATAGGAATGTTGCTTGACTCTTATGCCCAGGGCAGACTGTGAAGCATCCATTCCCCTAAATCCAGGGCAGTCAGGTAAGGGGCCTTCTTATCTCAGCCACTTCTCCACTTCCAGCCCAGACTCTTGCTGTATTAACCTCTGTTTCTCCGACACAGCAGACCCGGAGACTTTTTACCTCCTTTTTTTGTGACTCCTCCCCACTCTACCACAAGTAGGGTTGCAAGATTTAGAAAATGAATATTTAAGACACTCAGTTAAATTTGGATTTTAGATAAATGACAAATACTGTTAATTAGTATAAGTATGTCCCAAATATTGCATTGCATTTTATTGTATTTTTTTTTGTAGCAGCCGTACCCTCAAGAACTGCACCTTCCAACCACCCTTATATGAGCCTGCTCCAAAACCTTGCCAGCCAGCACTTCCAGGTTACGACTATTGACCTCCAGCTCCCAGTTTCAGGTGAGAGGTGAGACCCAGTCCCACACTAGCATGTCATCTTCGTGGAATCCCAAAAGAGACAATATATAGAGGACAGGATTTTTTTTTTTTTTTTTTTTTGAGACGGAGTCTTGCTCTATCGCCCAGGCTGTACTGCAGTGGCGCGATTCTTGGCTCACTGCAAGCTCCACCTCCTGGGTTCACGCCATTCTCCTGCCTCAGTCTCCTGAGTAGCTGGGACTACAGGCGCCCGCCACCACACCCCGCTGATTTTTTGTATTTTTGGTAGAGACGGGGTTTCACCGTGTTAGCCAGGATGGTCTCTATCTCCTGACCTTGTGATCCGCCCGCCTCGGCCTCCCAAAGTGCTAGGATTACAGGTGTGAACACCGAGCCCGACCAAGGTACGGCCTTTTTAAAGCCCCCTCCCCTGCTTCACACCCAGCAATGCGCCTGCTTTAAGGGTGTCCTTGTTTTTGACAAACTCACAATCTCCGCCTCCACAGGTTTCGGGCGCCCCTGGTGGTTGCACTTTGCCAGTAGCTTATGGCAACCCACCAGGTTTGCTGATGCTGGACTGGCATTTACCTGTCAAAGTAATTTAAACCATAAGATTTATTCCCAAATAGGGGGGGAAACAGATAAAATGGGAGAAGGGCATGGTTGTGGGTTTGGACTAATCAGAACAAGATTCTAAATTTTTATAAAGAGAGGAGATGGTACTGCAGGAAAGCCCTGTGAGTCTCCCCTGCAAAATACCCACCTAGACCTGTTTTTGTTGGTGGTTGTGTGTATGCCTTCTGAAACAGTGTGTCTCCACAGCCAAACATGTGCTGGGATGCAGGAGATGCTTAGGCCACCTTGATCAGTGATGTCTGAGGCTTCCCCAGGCTGGTTAATTCACAGCCTCCCTCCTTTATGCTCCCCCAGATTCTCTTTCATTTAGATTGTGTTGACTCAGCTCAGGGGATGAATATATGTATTTGCCAACATTATTGAGTTTGCTAATTAAAAAGCACTGAAAGAAAACTTACTTTCCCTCTGCGTTTGGTGACTTTTACCCCTAGAACTCTTCTTCTTAGGAAGCCTATGACAATGAAGATACTATAAAAACAAGGGTCTTTCCAATTCCCTTCTGCTGTGTCGTGGAGCGAACACTCAACCTGGAGTCTAACGTTCTTAATTTCTGTCCCAGATCTTTACTGGCTGGGTCTCTGCACACTTCTCAGTCTCCTAGAGTCTTCAGGTTACTCAATCAAAAAATGTTCTAAACTAGTTGTTATAAGAGTGCTGAACACATTGGCTGGTTCACTCACACAATAGATTTGCCTGACAACTGTTCACTAAACTGTATATCTTAGTGCAGTATGTGGATTTAACTGGTGGTGTTGCTGATGTGTCAAAATTTTGAGCACGTTCCAGCTTTTCATTGTTGTTATTTTCCATCTTCCATTACTTTGAAGGGAACATGTTACAGGACACAAAGAAATACTAAACTTGCAAAGCATATGAATAATAGCAAATGTGATTATTATTTATTTACTTATAAAAAGATGATAGATTACTTCATGTTCTGCTTAAAGCTACTTTTTGCATTTGGACCATTTTGAGTAGCCCATATTCTGCCAAAAATTATAATTATAAAATTAGTGAATCACGCAGAAAACATTGGAACTAAATTATTGACACGGCTTTGGAAAGGTGATATCCAATCTTATATGCAAATTCCAGTTGTCTTCCATTACTCTTGGGATCTTTCAGCAGATTTTTGCCATCTGTGTAGAAGCTGTTATTGAATTTTCTTGCTGAGATTATATAATTTCTATTCAGAGAATTAAATTCCCCATTACACTGTATTTTGTTTCTCTACAATATAAATGGAAAATTATGTAACAAGGAATTTATACATTTGTTTTGCACCTGTGGTATTTAAAATGTGGCAGGCATTTAGAGCTGTCATAAAGACCCAGGCCGAAAATGCTTTATTGCATATGATTATCCTTCTCTTACTACTTTTGAAAAGGAATGAAATACAGCCATTTTAATATTCATGTGTTCCATCCAAACAGAGGACTGAATAATAAAAGTGGATAACTTATATTTGCTTCCATTACAAATAGTTTTATCTTGCCATCTTCAGTCATTGTTTTCGGCTTGCATTGTGATACTATGAAGTGGATCAGAAAATATACTTCCTGAGTGCTACTTGTTAAACAAGTGTATGAAATGTGCTTGACCCTGCTCTGTGCAGTAGAGCATTTCAGACTAATCACAAACTACTGAGTGGAGTCAAAGCAGCAGCTCAGACTGCTTTCTCTGCAAAAACTGGAGATAAAGTGTTGGTTAGAATATAACGTTTAGCTTCTCATGTTGTAACTAATGGTAGGCCTGGTGGAGTGGTTAAAATATAATGAATCCAGTACCAATGGATTCCAGAAGTATTTGATACCCATCTAATATAACGCTGCTCAAAACATTTTGATGGGTCTCTAGGGTCTAATGAATAAACTTCCAACCTTAATCTGGTCCTTGTTATCCGACTTATGCTGTTTCTTTCTTTCTTTTTTTTTTTTTTTTTCAGAGAGTTCTCCCAGTCTCCTGGATCACACTGGTCTGAAAGCTGTTTGGTAGACAACCTTCGAGTCTTTCTGCCTTCATACTGTGGGTATACCGTTCTCCCAACTGAAAACCCGTTTTTTTTCTTATCTGTCTACTCAAAGCCTAACCAACACCAAATGGCCTAGAAATGCCACGTACCTACCAGTTGCCTCTTTCCTCCTCCAGCCCTTGTGAATGTGAATTCACATCTCTGTTCTCTGTGTTCCTTGGCCACTTAGTACCATTCACAATATCTCTCATAGCTAGCTCTCTGCCTTAGGGCTGGCCCATGGGACTAAAATTCCTTGTGGTAGGTATTTTTTTTTCATATTTCTATTCTTATAGCATCTAGCATAGAACAAACAGCCTAGTATCTAGTGGGTATCCAATAACAACTTATGCAGGTGATTAGGCAAGAAAAAGAAATAAAGCCTATTCAAATTGGAAAGGTGGAAGTCAAATTGTCCCTATTTGCTGGCAACATAATCTTATATATAGAAGAACTTAAACACTCTGCCAAAAATCCATTAGATGTGATAAACAATTCAGTAAGGTTGTATTGTATGTATCAAAACATCCCTATGTAACCCATAGAGATGTATAATTATTTTATGTTGATCAAAAATAAAATAATAAAAGCTCTTAATAAAACAGTCATCTCTTTCAGAATTCATGGTTACCATTGCCTCTAGTATTATTTGTCAATTAAAAAATAAAATTTAAAAAGAATTTAAAGAGTTGAATGCAGTTTAAAAATGCATGCAGGCCGGGTGCGGTGGCTCACGCCTGTAATCCCAGCACTTTGGGAGGCTGAGGTGGGCGGATCGCGAGGTCAGGAGATCGCGACCATCCTGGCTAACATGGTGAAACCCCGTCTCAACTAAAAATACAAAAAAAAAATAGCCAGGCATGGTCACAGGCGCCTGTAGTCCCAGCTACTCGGGAGGCTGAGGCAGGAGAATGGCATGAACCTGGGGGGCGGAGCTTGCAGTGAGAGGAGATCGCGCCACTGCACTCCAGCCTGGGCGACAGAGGGAGACTCCGTCTCAAAAAAAAAAAAAAGCATGCAAGTAAGGAAGGATCGTGTGAGGGTAAGGGTGCAAGTGCAGCTTTAAAGATATTAGTAAGAGAAAAGAAGAGGGCGTATAGTGCATGCTGTGACATGGGATGACAGCTTGCACTGAGAGAGCATGGATCTATATTTTTACTATATACTCTGTAATTGAACATTTCAGCTTATTTGGATTGTATTAAGCCACTTTATTATTTGAATGCTCACAATTTCCTTCTAATTTCAAACTTGTTTGTGGACCTGTAAAAAAATTCTTTTTTTAAATGCATCTGTTTAATGACACAGGACACTTTTCATTTATGCATGGTACACTGGTAGCCCAATCTGAAAGTACTGTTTTCTACACTAAACTTTTTTTTTTTTGAGCCAGAGTCTTGCTCTGTTGCCAAGCTGGAGTGCAGTGGCGCAATCTCGGCTCACTGCAACCTCCACCTCCTTGGGTTCAAGAGATTCTTCTGCCACAGCCTCCCGAGTAGCTGGGACTACACACCTGCGCCACCACACCCAGCTAATTTTTGTAATTTTAGTAGAGACAGGGTTTCACCATGTTGGCCAGGATGGTCTCAATCTCTTGACCTCGTGACCTGCCCGCCTCAGCCTCCCAAAGTGCTAGGATTACAGGCGTGAGCCACTGCGCCTGGCCTAAACTATTTTTAAAAAGAAGTAACAGCATGCCTCTACTTATGTAAAAGCAAACATATGTTTTGACGGTGGTGAAGTTGGCTTCTGTTAACCCAACTTCTAAAGAACTAAATTGGCCAAAAGAGGAAAAAAAAATGCTTATTTTATTAAATTTAAATTTAGTAAATGCTTATTTACTACATTGACTTGAGGATTTCAGACAAATAGCTTAGTTAGTGGTTAGATCAAGAGGCTTTATAGAAGAAAAGCTTAATGGTGCTTATTTATAAAATGAAAAAATTAGTAGTTCTTGGCCCTGCCTCATCTGTTTCTCAAATTTGTTGGTTATGAAAGATCTGACTGAAATCCACACCATCTGGCTTTTAGTGCTGGGATCCCAGCACAGGCCAGTTTAGCCATCTGCTTCTGTCTCTGACGCCACATACAACAGAGAGTCTTTTGTCATTGTTGTTGTTGTTGTTGTTGTTGTTGTTTTGAGACGAAGTCTTGGTATGTCTCCCAGGCTGGAGTGCAGTGGCACGATCTCGGCTCACTGCAAGCTCTGCCTCCTGAGTTCACGCCATTCTCCTGCCTCAGCCTCCTGAGTAGCTGGGACTGCAGGCGCCCGCCACCACGCCCGGCTAATTTTTTGTATTTTTAGTAGACACGGAGTTTCACCGTGTTAGCCAGGATGGTCTCGATCTCCTGACCTCGTGATCTACCCGCCTCGGCCTCCCAAAGTGCTCGGATCGCACCCAGCCCAGAGCTGCATTTTCATACACCATTGAAATCAGTGAACCCTCACCGTGTGATGAGAATGCTGGATGAAATTTTATGCTGAGTGAGGGAACAATCTGTTGAAAATAAAGGTTAGAAATGTGTAGTGTCCTATCGTGTCAGTGCCACAAAAAAGATGGGGAGTCCTGCCACATGGTGGAATGGTGCCACATAAGTCAGAGCAGGAAGCGAGTGCAGAAGGACCCAAGTGACTGGAGAGATGATTGCAAATGCAACAGAAATTCTAGGGTTCATCGGATGCTGTGGCTATGCTTAAGAAACCAGCCACTCAGCTAAGAAAACAACAGTGAGAAATAACACCGTTACAGTGGATTTATTTCTCTGCTTAAATGACTGCCTTGCAGAAGAGCTGTGATCTTTTGATATTTTTTGGCAAACAGCATCAAAAACAAGATATATGGAATCAACCAACAGATCATGTATCACTGTGCTTGTACTGGTAAAACTCCGTGTACTTACTCCACGTCTACCGTAGTAGATTGAGAGATGGTCATCCAAAGATCTCAGATTCTAATCCCTGGGACTGGGAAGTGTTCCCTTGTTTGGCAAAAGAGTCTTTGTAGACGTGATTAAGTTAGGGATCTTGGCATGAGGGGATGAACCTTCTTTATTCAGGTGGCCTTGAATTATGATCACAAGTGTCCTTATAAAAGAGAGGCAAAGGGAGAAAGCACAGAAAGGAGAGGAGGAACTTAAGTGCCCATGGAGGCAGAGACCGCAGTAATGCAGCCACAATTTAGGGACGCCAACAGAAGATGGGAGGGGCAAAGAACCAGTCCACCCCCGTAGACTCCAGGAAAAGTGTGGTCTTGCCAACACATTGATTTTGGAATTCTGGGCTCTAGAACTATGAAAGTATAAATTTCTGTTATTTTAAGCAGCCCAGCTGTGATACTTTGTTAAGCAGCCACAGGGACTAATACCCCTACTATGTGCCACTCACTGTGCCAGTCCTGGGGAAGATTTAGGCTGGAAAAGCATGGCCTTTGCAGCATTTTTCCCCCACCAGTGCTGAGACAATATGTTGAAAAGACTGGGAAAATGTTATAATGTATTCAAAATACCAGATGAGAGCTTTCTGTGTACCTGTCACTATGCTCAGCTCCAGAGATGGGATATGAACAAAACAGGCCCAATTCTCTTCCCTCTGTGCCGAACTTACTTTCTGTTAAGTACAAAATAGGGCTTAATGCTATGAAAATGAAGAGGAGTGACAACATTGATGTCAACCAGGAGGATCAGGGCAGATTTTAAATATGATGTGGCTGCAGCAAGAGTGTGTGCGCATGGGAACAGGCATTCCAAACGAAGGAATCACTGCTAATACAGCTGCAAAGTCTGCAGTGCCTTTGGGAAGCCTTGACAAGATGAACGTGTCAGAGAGCAGGCATTCAGTCTTTAACACAGCCTTTCCACATCGGCCTATAAAATTGTATTATGATGTTTCTTCATTTGGAAAACTAGTTTTAAAGGTTGCATTTTGATGAGTTTGCAACATTCAATTTAATGGAATCCAAATCGCATGCCCTTTGGAAGAGGTGCCATATGTGAATGCACCCATAAAGTGCACGCATGCAGCGTTTGTTACGTGGTAGGATCTCATGCAATTTTAAATGACTCTCATGTTAAAAAATGCTTCTATTGGCAGGGGGTGGTGGCTTACACCTGTAATCCAAGCACTTTGGGAGGCCAAGGCAGGTGGATCACCTGAGGTCAGGAGTTTGAGACCAGCCTGGCCAACATGGTGAAACCCCGTCTCTACCAAAAATACAAAAATTAGCTGGGCATGGTGGTGGGCACCTGTAATCCCAGCTATTTGGGAGGCTGAGGCAAGAGAATGTCTTGAACCCAGTAGTTGGAGGTTGCAGTGAGCCAACTTCGTGCCATTGTACTCCAGCCTGAGCAACAAGAGCAAAACTCCATCTCAAAGAAAAAAAAATGCTTCTATCACTCTTAGCCTTGTTTTACTTCATACTCTGGTGGTGGGCAGGTTTGCTACCTTAAATACGTCCTAGAAGCTGAATCCAAATACTTTTTGAACAATTTTCTGACTTCCTTTAGAGAAATGTACTGTCAGAGTACTATGTATAATTTTTTAAATACAGCTACCCTGAAGACTTATAAAAGTCTGGTTGTTCAGGCAGTAATTTATTTACAAATTCATGAAAATGAAAACAGTTTATGCAAGCAACCAGCTCTGGGATGCCTCATCGTCCTTTGCAAAATTATCCAAATCATGATGAAATAGGCTTTATTTTTATGGATTAAACAGAGAAGAATGTCTAATGAATTGTCTAGAAATTGAAATACGCACCTTTTATGAATAGGGACATTTCATAAGACCATTCTGTATTGTGAGTTAGGAATTCAGATCAGTTGAAGCATTAAAAAAATCAAACCTTCTGCAGCTCATTAAAGCATAAACCTAATTTTTAGAATTTATCCGACTAATATAGTAAGACCTCCACCTGCTTAGAATAATATTAATACTTGGCCTCATTTACCTCCAAGAGGGGGATAGGCCCCTGACCAATCTTCCCATTTCACCGAGGACAGACACTTCCCTTGAATCAGGTGGAGGTTTTCCAGTCATATTTGCAACACTGTTTAATGCTCAATTGCCCTATTTCTTTCCTCTGTGAAGTGAATACAATAACTTAAATGAAGGTTGTTTGAAACTCCTACTATTGGGTAGGAGTTTGCAACCTGGTTACTATGATCAGAGCTATAATTTTTTTGTTTATTATAATTAGGTTTTTTGCAAGACTAAAATTGTGCTTCTTTTAAAGTGCTGAAGAATTTCCAGGCTTGTCAGCACTAATACGTATTCTAATTGCAAAAACAGACACGAATATCAACCCAGGTGCATAGACCTCATAGTGTCAATCAAATCTCATCAGAAACTACTTGTCTTGCAGGAGGAAGGGGATCCTAAAATCTTTTTTTTTTAAGGGAAATTTTTTATCAATTTGTATTCTTTATGTCCTTTCATATTGCCGTTTACCATAAATGAAAACCATGAGAGGAACTTTTAATAATAATACACATCTGATTATGCTTTTATGAATATACAGAACATTAAATTTCAAAAGGCTTTGCTTGAGTCCCAAATGCAATTTCTAAAACATTAACTAGCCTACTCAGAATCAGGTAGAAATGGTGCAAATGAGCTCTTTTTATCACAGGCATTATTTCTTGAATAAACTCTCTTTTGTTTCCTAAACTTCAAAAAAACTGTAATTTTATTTTCAACATTCATGAAGGATAAGTCAAATCCTGTCAGTGAGTGAGTCCAACGGTTTCCATGAAAGGAGGATGTGGTCACTTTCATGAAGAAGCCAACTGAGGAAGGCTTTTTCTTGGTTCAATCATTTGATGTAATGATTCAGATGAAAGCACGTAAGTTAGCCTTTCTTTATACCTGCTTCATAAAGTTTGAGACTGCTAAATTACCAAGATAGGACAGTAACATAAGATTATCTTCTTCATAGCATACATCACTATTTAAAATTATTTTATATATTTACTTATCTGTTATTTTCTGTCTTGCCCACTAGGATATATTGTCCATGAGATCTTGTCCTGTGAAGTCTTTCCTGGCACATAGTAAGTGCTCAATAATTGTTGCATAAAGGTGAATAAACCAATAAATGAAAGAACTTTTGCACATATTTGTATGTTACTTGTAACACATTTTGTAATTTGTCTGTTAATACTGCCTTCTCCCTTTTCTCTGACATCTTTGCAAAGGAAGTTATCTAGGGCAAAATAAATTGCAATATAAACTGTCATTAATTTGCACTAAGTCCTGTAAAACCTGTTTGCTTTTTTGTGTTTGGTCCATCAGCCAGCAGATCTTTTTTTTAATTTTATTTTTTATTTTATTTTATTTTTTTTTTTGAGACGGAGTCTCGCTCTGTCGCCCAGGCTGGAGTGCAGTGGCCGGATCTCGATCTCGGCTCACTGCAAGCTCCGCCTCCCGGGTTCACGCCATTCTCCTGCCTCAGCCTCCCAAGTAGCTGGGACTACAGGCGCCCGCCACTACGCCCGGCTAATTTTTTGTATTTTTAGTAGAGACGGGGTTTCACCGTTTTAGCCGGGATGGTCTCAATTTCCTGACCTCGTGATCCGCCCGCCTCGGCCTCCCAAAGTGCTGGGATTACAGGCGTGAGCCACCGCGCCCGGCCCAGCCAGCAGATCTTAATGAAGAGAGCTAATTGCAGAGTTTTCTAATAACGGGTTTTTACCGTATAGTCAGACTCAGCCCCTTTTCCATGTTACATTTTCTGCTGAATATCTACATTACTGCCTTTAATAGGCAGTGCAAAGCCTTAATGAGATGATTTATTTTGAAGTGAGTTTTAAAAATTCCTGGGTATTTAGACTCTGGCTTATTTTTTGCCACCTAATTGGTAGGAGTGAGTAGACAGGTATTGCTAATGGTACTTTAAATGACTATCAGGATCTGAAGGATGAATTGTATTAATTATTCAAATTGGAAATATTTCTTTGAGATTTTAAAAATCATATTGAAAGTCAATGGTAGATTGAATCAATACGCAAATTTACTTTACATATTTTTCAGTTCAAGTCTAATAAATAATGTCCAACTCTTTTGGCATTGTGTACATTTATAGAGACATGTCAATGTCTTCATGTCTTTTATTATTACTTATTAAAGTAAAGCTGATGGTGATATCAAAATGTCACCTATGTTTGTTTGTTTTTTTCTCTTGGTATACATTTGAAGCCTTTCTGGCCAACATCCCTCAATGTACCTATTTAACCTTCCAGGTATTGCTCAGTCAGTTACAAATATCTGGCCTTTCTTTTCAGGCTTTATATTCTAAAATACTTTTCTAGTGAGAAGCAAAAAAAAAAAAGAACAAAAAACCTCACTAATTCACTGTGGTATTTAGTTGGCATAGAACAAACAACCAAATTACCTGGCATGTGGCAGCTGGTTTATAAAAATGTAAAGTAGGTACTAGACATCATTTGAAAGTTTAGGCACATATAAATTTTGTCTTTAGATTACACAATATTTTTCCATAGGTATATGGTATATACTGAACTTATTCACATGATTTATTCCTTGCTATAATACTTTTCATCTAATTTGGCTAACTGGAGGAGGAGAGTGCCTACTGTGAATGCCTACTGTGTTCTGTGTTCTAGGCTAGAAACTTTGCATTCATTATTGAACACTCATATCAACTTTATGTGAAGGCAGCATTATTTACTGAAGAAATTAAGGCTCAGGGAATTTCAATTTCTCCATATTCCATACTGAGTAGTCAAGCTGGGATTGCTAGTCTGCTATTTGTCTGATTCTAAAGTCAGTGTTCTTTTTTAACACAGTCAATTGGAAAAACTCTCATTAACACAGAGATTTTTCTCTCCATCTTTTAAAGTTTTTACTCCACCACTGCTCACTATGAACTTATTATATTGGAGTGGATGCAAAATAAAGTGCCAGAAATGACTTGTAGAACATGGTCTCCTTGCTTTCCTCCTTATAATGAATAAGTGATGGGATTAAATGGATTCGGTACTTTTGGGCCCAGAGGAAGTATCTGGGAATTTGTTAAGAAATAAACAGAAAGTAGAGAGTGATGTCAGTAAAGTGATAGACTAGGAAGCCCCAGGCTTCATTCACTCACAGATAAACTGACTTGACAACAATAAGCCTTTATGAGAACTCCAGAAAGTAGTTAAGAAATCATTGCACCTCAGGCAAGCTCAAAGCCAAGAACAGCCACATTATAATGAGTAAGAAAGGTTATTTTATTTCAACCTTAGTAGCTCCTCCAAGCTGGCACAACACAGCAAAATTAGGAGAAAAAGGCCAGCTCATGCCTTTTCCTTTGAGAGGGAAAGAGAAGAGTAGAACATATGTTTAATGTTCTAGCTTTTCAGGGGGCTGCTCAGGGACTGGTTTCCCTCTCACCTGGCTTGAAGCAGTGATGAGGAACCAGTATAGTATGGATGTCTTGGGACTGCTGAGAAGAAAAGGTTGCTCAGCAGTTTGATGCGGCCCCAGAGAACCTTATCACCATGAAAGAGCTGGTACAGCTTGGAGTGACTGGGAGAAAATGCCCAGCTCATGACTACTCGTTTGGAAGAAAAAGAGAAGAGTGGAACATGCATCCAGCAATTCAGTGTATTTTTTTTTTTTTTTTTTTTTTTTTTGGTCAGGGGGCTGCCCTACAAACAGAGTTCTGTCTTACCTGACTTGGAGCATTGACAGAACCTGCATGCTTTGGATGCCTATGGTCACAGAAAACAATAGGGTATTCAGCAGCTTGCATATTACATCAGAGAATTTCTAGTACTGCAGACAGACATCAGTGTCAGCAAGAGATTAGAAGCTCCTGAAAAAGAAACTGCAAATCTCTCTAACTGGGAAATCAGATACATAAGCTCAGAAAAGATGTATCCCCAGAAAAGATTTTGGAGGACCCCAGAATCTCTAACCAGGCCGATTGGTGAAGCTCTTCCCTTGTATGAAGGCAGTTTATGAAGATTGGAAGAGGTGGCTGTATATTTAAATGCACACATCACAGCAAAAAATAACAAGACACATGGAAAAACATAGAAACATGACTCAATCAAAGGAATAAAATAAACTTCCAGAAAAAATAATCCTAAAAATGGATATCTGTGAATTACTTGACAAAGAATTCAAAATAATCACCTTAAAGAAGCTCAATGCATTACAAGAGAACACAGAAATATAACTAAACAAAGAGGAAGGCTGGGCACGGTGGCTTACACCTGTAATCCCATCACTTTGGGAGACTGAAGTGGGTGGATCACCTGAGGTCAGGAGTTCGAGATCAGCCTGACCAACATGATGAAACCCCGTCTCTACTAAAAATACAAAAATTAGCTGGGCGTGGTGGCAGGTGCCTGTAGTCCTCGCTACTCAAGAGACTGAGGCAGGGAAATAGCTTGAACTCAGGAGGTGGAGGTTGGAGGTTGCAGTGAGCCAAGATCACGCCATTACATTCCAGCCTAGGCAACAAGAGCAAAACTCCATCTAAAAAAAAAAAAAAAACAAAAAAACAAAAAAACAGCCAGGCATGGTGGCTCACACGTGTAATCCCAGAACTTTGGGAGGCCGAGGCAGGTGGATCATGAGGTCAGGAGATCGAGACCATCCTGGCTAACATGGTGAAACCCTGTCTCTACTAAAAAATACAAAAAATTAGCTGGACGTGGTGGCAGGCACCTGTAGTCCCAGCTACTCAGGAGGCTGAGGCAGGAGAATGGCGTGAACTCAGGAGGCGGAGTTTTCAGTGAGCCAAGATCATGCCACTGCATTCCAGCCTGGGCGACAGAGCCAGACTCCATCTCAAAATAACAAAAAACAAACAAACAAAAAGAACAAATGGAAAACAATGCACAAACTAATGTAGAATATCAACAGAGACAGAAACCAGAATAAAGGCCAAACAGAAGTTATGGAGCTGAATAATGCAATAACAGAATTGAAATATTCACTATAAGCATTTAACAGCAGATGTGATCAATCAGAAGAAGGAATCAGTGAACTCAAAGAAAGGTCATTTGAAGTTATTGAATTAGAGGATCAAATAGAAAAGAGAATGATGGAAAATAAAGAAAGTCTGTGGGATTTATGTGGTACCACTGAGTGGACCAATACAGGCATTATGAGAGTTCCAGAAGGAGAAGGGAGCAAGAAAGGGAAGAGAGTTTATTTGAAGAAATAATGGCTTAAAACCACTCAACTGAGAAAGAAAATGGATATCCAAATTCAGGAATCACAAAAGACTCCAATTAAGTTGAACTCAGAGTCTCACACCAAGACACACAATAACCAACTGGTCAAAAGCAAAAGTCAAAGAGAGATTCTTGAAAACATCAAGAGAAAACAGACTCATCATGTACAAGGGAGTTTCCATAAGATTATCAGTGGATTTCTCACCAGAAACATTACAGGTCAGAAGGGAGTGGGATGATATATTCAAAGTATTGAAAGAAAAAAAAATCTTGCCTAGCAAAAATACTACATCTTGTAAAACTGTCCTTCAAAAATAAACAGACCTTCCCAAATAAACAAAAGCTGAGGGACTTCATCACCACTAGATTAGGCTTAGAAGAATAGCTAAAGGGAGTTTCAAAATGAAATGAAAAGATTAGCTAGCAACATGAAATCATATGAAAATATAAAGCTCTTTGCTGAAGGTAAATATTTAAGCAAACACAGAATCCTCTAATACTATGATGGTGGTGCATAAATAATTTTTAATTCTAGTGTAGTTAAAAATATAAAAGCATGAAAATAACTAAACTATAAATCTATATACATTGATACATAAAGTTAAAAATGTAATTGATAGCACCAAGAACATAAAGTGTGTGTAGGGTAACATGTAAAGAAGTAAAGTTTTGTGTGTGATTGAAGTTAAGTTCATAATTATAAGTTCATGTAAGTTCATCAAGTTCACTATAAGATGTTTAATGTAATCTCTATGGTAACTACAAATAAAATATCTTAAAAAGATGTACAAAAATGAGATAGAAATACAAACATGTCACTGAAAAAAATCACAAGAGAAGACAGCAGGAGATTGTAAAATTTCTTTCCTATCAGTAATTACTTTAAATGTAATTGAATTAAACACTCCAATCAAAAGACACAGAATGGCTGAATGGATTGAAAAAGAAACAAGATCCAACCGTATGCTGTCTACAAAAGACTCACTTTAGCTCTAAGGACACACACAGAATGAATGTGAAAAAATGGAAATAGATATTCCATACAAATGGTAACCAAAAGAGAGCAGAGGTTGTGATGCTTATATCAGATGAAATAGACTATAATTCTAAAACTTTTCACAAGGGACAAGGAAAAACAATACATGACAACAGGATCAATAAAATAAGATACAATTATAAATATTCACCTAACATCAGAACACAGACATATATGAAGCAAACAATGGTAGAATTGAATAGACAGGAACACAATAATATTAGAAGATTTCAATACCTTATTTTCGATAATGAATATATCAACCAGACAGAGGATTAATATGAACACAGAGGACTTGAACAACACTATAGACCAATTAGACCTAACAGACACCTGCGGAACACTCCACACAACAGCAGACCATACATTCTTCTCAAGTGCACATAGAACATATTCCATGTCCATGGAACAAATTTAAGGATATTGAAATCAGACCAAGCAAGTATCTTTTCTGACAACAATGGAATGGAATGAAACTAGAAATAAACAGCAGAAGGAAAATCGAAAAATTCAAAATTAGGTGGAAATTAAACAACACACTCTTTTTTTTTGAGACAAAGTCTCGCTCTGTCACCCAGGCTGGAGTGCAGTGGCGCAATCTCGGCTCACTGCAAGCTCCGCCTCCCAGGTTCACACCATTCTCCTGCCTCAGCCTCCCGAGTTGCTGGGACTACAGGCGCCTGCCACCACGTCCCACTAATTTTTTGTATTTTCAGTAGAGACGGGATTTCACCATGTTAGCCAGGATGGTCTCGATCTCCTGACCTCATGATCCACCCGCCTCAGCCTCCCAAAGTGCTGGGATTACAGGCGTGAGCTACCGCGCCCAGCCAAACAACACACTCTTAAACAACTGAAGTCAAAGGAGAAGTCACAAGGGAAATTATAAAATTATCCTGAGGATAATGAAAATAAATGCACAACATATCAAAACTTATGGGATGCAACAAAAGCAGTACTAAGAGGAAAGTTTATAACGACAGATGCTTACATTAAAGAAGAAAGATCTCCAGTTAACAACCTAGCTTTACACCTCAAGGACCTATAAAAAAGAAAAAAATTGGCCAGGCACTGTGGCTCATGCCTGTAATCCCAGCACTTTGGGAGGCCGAGGTGGGTGGATCACAAGGTCAAGAAATCGAGACCACCCTGGCTAACACGATGAAACTCCGTCTCTACTAAAAATACAAAAAAATTAGCCAGGCGTGGTGGCGGGTGCCTGTAGTCCCAGCTACTCAGGAGGCTGAGGCAGGAGAATGACGTGAACCCGGCAGGCAGACCTTGTAGTGAGCCGAGATTGTGCCACTGCACTCCAGCCTGGGCGACAGAGTGAGACTCTGTCTCCAAAAAAAAAGAAAAAGAAAAAAAGAAAATCTAAAGCTAGCAGAAGAATGAACATAATAAAAATTAGGGCAGAACTAAATAAAATATAAAATAGAGAACGGAAAAATAATAGAAAAAAACTTTTAAATGCGTTTTTTTAAAAATCCACAAAATTGACAAACCCTTAGCTAGACTAAGAAAAAAGAGAGAAAACACAAATAACAAAGATCAGAAATGAAAGGGAAAACATTACAACTGATACTACAGAAATAAAAAGAATCATAAGAAATTACTATGAACACTTGGGCTGGGTGCGGTAGCTCACTCCTGTAATCCCAGCATTTTGGGAGGCTGAGGCAGGAGGATCACGAGGTCAGGAGATCAAGACCATCCTGGCTAACACAGTGAAACCTCGTCTCTACTAAAAATACAAAAAATTAGCCAGGAGTCGTGGCGGGCGCCTGTAGTCCCAGCTACTCAGCAGGCTGAGGCAGGAGAATGGCGTGCACCCGGGAGGCAGAGCTTGCAGTGAGCCGAGATCGCACCACTGCAGTCCAGCCTGGGTGACAGAGCGAGACTCCTTCCCAAAAAAAAGAAAAAGGAAAAAGAAATTACTATGAACACTTATGGGCAAAAAATTGAATAATATATAAGAAATGGAAAATTTCTAGAAAAATACAGCCTGTCAAGACTGACAATCTGACCAGACCTGTAACAAATAAGGAGAATGAAGCAGTATTCAAAAATCTTTCAATAAAGAAAATACCAGGGCCTGATAGCTTCACTGGAGAATTTTACCAAATATTTAAAGAATTTTTAATCTTTCTCAAATTCTTCCAAAAAGTTGAAAGGAAGGGAATATTTCTGATTCGTTTTATGAGGCCAACATTATCCTGATATCAAAATCAGAGAAAGATACAAGGAAAGAAAACTACAAGCCAATATCTCTGATGAGTATTAATGGAAAAATACTTAAAAAAATACTAGCAAGCCAAATTCAACTATATGTTAAAAGGATAATATGTGATGGCCAAATGGGATTTATTTCTGGAATGCAAGGATAATTTGCATATGAAAATCAATTAATGTAAGATATCACATTAACAACATTAAGGACAAAAAATATATGATCATCTCAATTGGTACAGAAAAAGAATTTAACATAATTAAACACACTTGCATCATAAAACACTCAACAAACTAGAAAGAGAAAGAAATTATTTTAACATAGTAAAGGCCATATATGACAAGCCTACAGCTAATATTATATTCAGTAGTGAAAAACTGAATTCTTTCCCTTCTAAGATCAGGAGCCAGGCAAGAATGCCCACTGTTTAAAAAATTTTATAGATTTTTATTTTTTAAAAAGATTATTTATTTTTCAATTGACAAAAATTATATATATTCATGGTGTACAACACAATGTTTTGAAAAATATACTGATTGTGGAATGGCTAAATCAAACTAATTAACATGTGCATTACCTCAAAAACTTATTTTTGGTGATGAGAACACTTAAAATTTACTTTCTTAGCAATTTTCAAGTATACAATACATTGTTATTAACTATACTCACCATGTTGTACAATATATCTCCTGTTTAACTGAAAAAAAATGGGATAACATCAAAATAAAATGCTTCTGCACAGTGAAAGAAACAATCAGAGAGAGAAGAGGCACCCTATAGAATGGGAGAAAATA
The DNA here is from genome assembly GCF_000001405.40 of Homo sapiens. Taxonomy (NCBI): domain Eukaryota; kingdom Metazoa; phylum Chordata; class Mammalia; order Primates; family Hominidae; genus Homo; species Homo sapiens. Next base: position 67,498,397 of record NC_000009.12, on the reverse strand, counting down.
TTTGCAAACCATGAAGATAAGAGGTTAATAAACAGAGTATATAAAAAGCACACAATTTAATAGCCAGAAAACAAATAACCCAATTAAAAAATAGGAGCAAAGGACTGGCCGGGCGTGGCGGCTCACGTCTGTAATCCCAGAACTTTGGGAGGCCGAGGAGGGCGGATCCCGATGTCAGGAGATTGAGACCATCTGGCTAACACGATGAAACCCCGTCTCTACTAAAAATACAAAAAATTAGCCGGGCATGGTGGCGGGCGCCTGTAGTCCCAGCTACTCAGGAGCCTGAGGCAGGAGAATGGCGTGAACCTGGGAGGCGGAGCTTGCAGTGAGCCAAGATTGCGCCACTGCACTCCAGCCTGGGCAACAGAGCAAGACTCCAAAAAAAAATCTCTCTCTATATATATATAGATATATGTATATATCTATATCAATATCTATATCTATATATGTAGGAGCAAAGACCTAAACAGACATTTCTCAAAAAAAGACATATAAATGGCCTACAGGTATTTGAAAAAATCCTCAACATCACCCTAACCATTAATGAAATGCAAATTAAAACTACATTGAGATACCACCTCACATCAATTAGAATGGCTATTATCAAAAAGATAAAAGGTAAGTGTTGGTGAGGATGCGGAAAAAAAGAATTCTGTTACATTGGTGAGAATTTTAGTACAGAAATTATGGAGACCAGTATGAAGAATTCTCAAAAAATTAAAAATAGAAATACCATATAATTCAGCAGTCCCACTTTTTGGTATATAGCCAAAGGAACTGAAATCAGGATCTCAAAAAGGTATGTGCACACCCATGTTCAGTGCAGCATGTTATTCACAATAGCCACGGTCTGGAATCAACCTAAGTGTCCATCATCAAATGACAGAATAAAGCAAATGTAACATATATACACAATGGGAATAGTAATTTAGTCTTGAAAAAAGAAGCAAATTCTGTCCAGTCAGGAAATCCTGTCATCTGGGATAATCTGGAGTACATTATACTAAGTGAAATAAGCCAGACACAGAAAGACAAACACCACATGATCTCACTTATATCTGGAACTTAAAAATGTCAAACTCATAGAGATAGAGAATAGAATGGTGGTTGCCAGGGATGGGGGCTGCAGGGATTGGGCAGATATTTGTCATATGATGCCCATTCTTGCCACTTCTATTCAACATAGTGTGGGAAGTCCTGTAAAGACCTAAATGTAAGACCCGAAAATACAAACCTTCTAAGAGAAAACACAGGGGAAAAACTTTATGGCATTGAACTTGGATATGATTTTATGGTAATTATACCAAAAGCACAGGCAACAAAAGCAAAAATAGACAAATTGGACCATATCAAACTTAAAAATGTTCTGCATGTCAAAGGAAACAATCAACATAGTGAAAAGGTAACCTATGGAATGAGATAAAATGTTCGCAAACCATACATCTGTTAAGGGGTTAATAGCCAGAATATATAAAGAACTCCTACAATTCAACAACAAACAAAGAAGCAACCCAATTAAACAATGGGCAAAGAACTTGAATAAACATTTCTCAAAAAAGACATACAAAGAGCCAACAACCATATGAAAAGATGTTCAGCATTACTAACCATTCTGGAAGTGCAGGTGAATACTGCAATGAGATATCACCTCACACCTGTTAGGATGGCTACCATCAGGAAAATAGAAAATAACAACTATTGACAAGGTTGTGAAGAAATTGGAACCCTTTTGTACTGTTAACAGGAATGTAACATGGTGTGGTCACTATGGGAAGCAGTATGATGGAGAATTTTCATAACTTTCAGCAGTTCACTTCTGAGTATACATTTTAAAGAATTGAAAATATTATCTGAAAGAGGTATTTGCTCACCCATATTCATTGCAGCATTATTCCCAGTAGCCAAAAGGTGGAAGGAACCTAAATGCCCATTGATTAAGAAAATGTGGTATAAACATACAATGGAAAATTATTTAATCTTAAAAAAGAAAGAAATTCTTAAACACATGACAACATGAATGAACAAACCTTGAGGACAGACATTATGCTAAGTGAAATAAACCAGTCACAAAAAAGGCAAATACTGCATGATTCCACCTCTATGAGGTATCTAAATCAGTCAAACTTTTAGAAACAAAAAGTGGATCGGTGATTGCTGGGTGGAGAGGGAAAAGGGGGTTGTTTCGTAGGTACATAGTTTCAGTTTTACAAGAAATGAAAAGGTTCTGGAGAGTAACTGCACAACAACATACATTAGTAGTTAAGACTACTGTACTATACATTTAAAAATCATTAAGACGATAAACTTTGTCATGTGTTTTTCAATAAAAAAATAAACAGAAGGTTACAGCATCATCTGTAAACTACAAGATCATCAGCATATGTTATGTGTTGAATTTTGCCCTCCAAAGTGTTTGAAGTCCTAACCCTCATGATGTGTAAATATGACTTTCTTCGGAAATAGGATCTGTGCAGATGATCAAGTTAAGATGAGGTCATCAGAGTGATCTCTAATCCAATATGACTGTGTCCTCATAAGAAGGGGAAATCTGGGCCCAGAGACAGACATATATAGAGGGAATACAATGTGAAGAGATAGAGGAAAAACCATCTACAAGCCAAACAATGCCAAAGGCTGGGGGAGAGGCATGGAGTGGATTCTCCCTCAAAGCCTTCAGAAGGAACCAGCCCTCCGGCACTTTGAACTTCTGGTATCCAGCATTGTGAGGAAATACAGTTTTGTTATTAAGCCACCCATTTTGTGGTACTTTGTTAGTGAAGCCCCAGGAAACCAATACATCATGGGTTGGGGTTATCGGGCTTTAATAAATTACAGCCTCTTTCTTCAACGCCTGAGTTTGCAACCAAACAGCATAAGCCCAAACATGCTACAGACCACATCTTAGATAGAGGGTTAAACAACTACACATCTTCCCCTTTAACTCCATTGTTGAGCATTCCTCACTGGGTCTCTTCATAATACTTTTCTTGTAGAGTATATCTATACGACTTTTTACCAGTTTTTAAACAGGTATGAAACAAAGTTAAGCTTTTGCCTCAGGAACTGTGCTAATCTTACCCAAAGCTTTTAGAGCATTTTTAGAAATGAGAGTGTTTAAGGTAGATTGAATTACCATTTCTTTTGGTGGCAGTAGAAGCTTGCCATTTAATTGAGAAACTATATCTTAAATCACAAGTAAAGAAATTTGTGGCTTCCACTCTAGAGAAAAACTCCAGAGAAGAGCATAAATTATGAGCTAAAAGCTGGTATCGTTTAGAGAAGGCTCCAAAGATGTTTTATGGTAACACCAATCTGAGGAAGGAAGCTCTACTCTTGCCTGTGATAATTTACTTTTGTCTGATTTCATGAATCATCTCTTATGGAATGTGATTGGAAAATATATTTACATTACTATATTTGAAAAATGTGAGTCTACAAACTTAGTTCTCTCTAACCAGTTTCTTCATTGTTGCCAAAGACCCCGTGCAGAGCAATCACACAGAAAAAGGCTGTTTGGATTCACCAGTGCAGCCGCTGTGGAGGGGCCTTTCATTGGCACTGAAAATGCTTGTTTGGTGATGAATAACCTTTGTTATTATTATACTGCATGTTATTAAAATTTTTAACGTAATTCCCTCTAAACTAATAGTAATTCAGACAATGCAGCCACTGGCAGACAGCTTCATTAGTCAATCTTCTTTCTTATAAATGGGAGAATTAAGAACTGCTATTACTGTCATTCTGTCTGCTGCTCATTATTGTTGTAGACTTATGCACGAGACTAATCATATTCTCGTTGAATGCATCATGCTTAGCTCTTGAACGTGTGTGACAGTGACAAGAGCCCACCGAGTGACAGGGCAGGGTTGGTGGAATTCTGTGTCTCCATATGCACATGCATGTGCATTCCTTCTTACACTCAGGCACACATAGGCTATTTTCCAGGGTTTTATTTTATTAATTCCTTAGGAATCTCAGAAAGTGAACTTCAGAGGCTGGGCACGGTGGCTCATGCCTGTAATCCCAGTACTTGGGAGGCCGAGGTGGGCAGATGGCCTGAAGTCAGGTGTTTGAGACCAGTCTGGCCAACATGGTGAAACCCCGTCTCTACTAAAAATACAAAAAAAAAAATTAGCCAGCCATCGTGGTGGGTGCCTGTAATCCCAGCTACTCAGGAAGTTGAGGCAGGAGAATTGCTTGAACCAGGGAGGTGGAGGTTGCAGTGAGCCAAGATCGCACCACTGCACTCAAAAAAAAAAAAAAAATGAACTTGAGAAAGCAAGATGGTACCCTCTGAGGCTTTCCCCATACAGTGTACATGTGTCCTCTCCAAGGAAAAATACTCCAAGGACAAAAACAATACAATAGGATTGTTTTTTGTGAGTATAAACATCTGATTTCTCTGTAGAGAGAGAAACAAAACATTTAGAAATCATCAAAATGTTTTGAGGCCTCTAAGGTACTTTCTGTGACTTCACAAAGACTATTATTGAATTCACTTTAAACAAAGCATTAAAAAATAATAATGTTTGCTCTTTCTCCAAAGGGAGACAAAGATAATTTTTATGGAGGAACCCTTTTCCCCATTGGATTACTAGACTATATCCTCAGTAAAAAAATGAAAAGTGTCCCCACCTGGTTGATGGTTAAACAAATGAAGATTAAGAGAGAACTAAAATGTCTAGAAGCATTTAACACTGTGAAATTCTATGATAGATGCTTGGATATTTGGAGAATGGAAACATTATATAAAATATGTGTATAGGTTGGGCGTGGTGGCTTACACCTGTAATCCCAGCACTTTGAGAGGCTGAGGCAGGAGGATCACTTGAACCCAGGAGTTTGAGACCAGCCTGGGCAGCATAGCAAGACCCCCATATCCACAAAAACTAAAAAAAAAAAAAAAAATAACTGGATGTGGTTGTGCATGCCTGTAGTTCCAGCTCTGTGGGAGGCTGAGGTGGGAGGATCACTTGAGCCTGGAAGGTTGAGGTTGCTGTAAGCAGTGATCACACTACTGTACTTCAGGCTGGGGGACAGTGTGAGACCCTGTCTCGAACAAAAAAAAAAGTTTGCTCAAGAAATATTCAGCAGCCCTCTGTTTCCCAAAGGGAAGAAACTCCTTAGAGCTGTGTTTACTGAGTGTGGTACATGGTACACTTCTCTTAGGATACAGATTTCTGGCTTGTCCCGGAAAACCAGAGTGTGGTGACTGTGGGAGGGCCCCAGGTCATTCTTATGTGCCAACATCTGAAAGCCACCATCTCAGAGACCAAGTCGTCCACTATGTGGCCCCAAGTCATCTTTCCAATTTATCTGAAAGTCTTGCCACAGGGGTCCTCAACTTTGGTGTATATCACAATTACATGGCCTCCACCTCCAGAGATTTGAACTCAGTAATTCTTGGGTAAATCCATGAAATGTGGGTTTTGATTAAATTAAATGATGGATCTGTAGATAATTCTGTTGTACACAGAGTTTGAGAATCACCCTGCTTGCCTAACAGTCAGCAGATATGAGTTCTGCACTCTGGCCTTGGCTCTGCCCCTTGCCTGCCTGGTTCTGGACATATCACTGAACTGCTCAGAGTTGTTCATTCTTTCCTGTATAAGAGCAGCATGGGTGCACCTGCACTGGCTACCTCACAAGTTAGATGATGTATGGAAAACCACTTAGTTAGATGCAGGATGTGATGTATTTTAGGGTGTCCAAGTCACTGAGTATTATCTACAAGTTAGGCACTGTCTTCAGTACCAGAAATGAAATAAGAAGCCTGCATTCGGGAAGTTTATTATGACTCTGAAGGCCGTCAGAAGGTTGCTATTCCCTGGTAATGTTAATCTATTCTTGGTCTTGTAGGTTACGCATGCTGTTGCTGACTGTTGACACATACCATCGGCTAAGAGCAGTGGCTGGCTTTGAAACAGCTCCACCTTCCCTGAATACTCTTTCAGCATCTCTGACGTCTAGGCCAAGTTTGTGTACTTAGCTCCATGACAGCATCAAGATACAAACAACAAGAACTGATGGATTTCAGTACATCTTCTGGGGCTCCTGCCTGTGGGATACAGCTTGTCTTTGATGTCTTACCCTCTACATCCATGTCTCCTTCCTGTCTGTGCTGTGGACTTCAAACTCCAGCATCAGACATGAAGACAACATCCTGCAGAGATTGCTTTAAGCAGCTCCCACAGTTATAACAACATCATGGCCCTATAGCAAATATCATAAAAATTTTTCCACACCTATATTCACAAACATAAAATCTTTTATTGGTTCTGTTTCTCAGTTGAATCATGACTGATACAATATGAGAAGCAGTATATTATTATTTATAGGTAAGGTGTCATTAATTACAGATGCATGGGTCAGGCATAGTGGCTCATCCCTGTAATCCAAGCACTTTGAGATACCAAGGTAGGAGGATCCCTTGAGGCCAGGAATTTGAGACCAGCCTGGGTAACAAAGTGAGACTCTGTCTCTACGAAAAACAATTTTTTAAGGTGCATATTATAAACCTAGGGAACCACTAAAATATTTTTAAAAGAAGCATAAATGATAAAAAAACAAAAAATGGAGATTAAATGGAATCATTAAAAATAATTCAAAATCAGTTAGAAAAAGAACAAAGAACAAATATAACAAATAGAAACAAGATATGAGATAGTACATTAAAATCCAACTGTATCAGTAGCTGTATTTAATTTAAATGACCTAAACATACCAACTAAAACACAGAGATGATCAAATTAGATAAAAAAGCAAGAATCAACTATAATCTATCTATAATAAATTCACATTAAATATAAAAGTATACAGGTTAAAAGTAAAAGGATGAAAAATATACCATATATGCCATGCAAACAGTTGCTCTATTAGTATTAGATAACAGGAAATTCCAGAACAAAGAATATCTTCAGAAATAAAAAGCCACCACATATAGTGTAAAAGGGCCAATTCATCAAGAAGAAAAAGACTAAACGTGTATGCACCTAACAACAGAGCTTTAAAATGCATAAAGCAAAACTGATAGAACAGAAAGAAAAAATAGACAAACCTACACTTAGAGACTGCAGCATTCCTCTCTCAGTAATAGAACAGATGCACAGAAAATCAGTAAAATATGTAGACTAGAACTACATTGTTAAGCAACTTGACAAATTTGGTATTTATTGAATGCTCTATTCAGCAATAGCAGAATACACATTCTTTTCAAGGGCTCATGGGACATTTACCAAGATACTGGGACATAAAACAAACCTCAACAAATTTAAAAGGGTTGAAATCATATGAAGAATGTTCTGTTACTATAGTGGAATCAAACTGGAAATTAATAGCAGAAAGATGTCTGAAAAATCCTCCAAATATTTGGAAATGAAATGACTCACTTCTGTACAACCCATAGGCAAAAAAGAAAGTCACAAGGGAAATTAAAATATATTTTGAATGAAAATGAAACATCAAATACAAGAATTTGGGAGATGCAGGTAAAGCAGTGCATAGGGGGAAATTTATATCATTAAATGTTTATACTTGACAAGAAGAAAGTCCTCAAGTTAATGGTATAGTTTTACAGTAAAGACCTGGTGGGGGGCGGAGGGGGGGCGGGAAGGAACAAATAAAATACCATAGCAAAGAAAAAGGAATGCAATAATTAAGATCAGAAATGAATGACTTTGAAAAGAGCAACACAATAGAGAAAAATAAAATAAAAAAAACCGAGTTGATTCAGTGTGCCCCTATTACTTTCTAGTTAAACAAAAAGAAAACTTTTGTTTCAATAATTATACTTAAATGTTTATTGGATTTTTGGAGGGTGATTTTTTACGTACTTTAGGATGACAGATAAAAACACAAGCAGTGCCTAAGTAGGTTCATAATTTTAATTTCACTTACCTGTAATTTTACCAATGCTTACTTATCAATGTCTTTAAAGGTACAATTTTATGGAAAATTTTACCTACAGTCTGAACATATTTTCTGGTCTTTAAAATGAAGTTAGTATGCTGTATACCATCAGTATATAAACTTGAAACACTTATAGAACAAACATATCAGAGATCAATAAATCCTTTTGGGTCACTACAAACTACCCCATTGGCAGTGTATATTTATTTTGTCTGTTGAGTAACAAACAGGTAAGTTTTAGAGTTAACAAAAGATTAATAATACAAAACAGAGCTGTCTAGTAATAATTTTCAGAGCTAGAACACCCACATGTATTTATAAAGTCACATTTTTGGGGGATAACCGGAGGTAACCTCAGTGAAAAAAAGTTAATTCTGTTGTAAATTCAGTTCTGATAGTCCCACTTGATGACCTTTTGTCTTAAACAATTTCTAAGTTGGCTCATATCATAACTATGCCAAACCTCTTGAAAAGGCTCATTTTAAGGCTCTCTAACAGCATATTATTAACTGGCGAGTCTTCCAGAAGGCAGACATCCTAAGCTTAACATTAACTCTAGTCCAATGTTTTTGGTTGCCTGCGTATATTTTCTTTGGCGTTAAAAAAAAAAAAGTTGGCCTGGCGCAGTGGCTCACACCTGTAATCCCAACATTTTGGGAGGCTGACGGGGGCAGATCACTTAAGGTCAGGAATTCGAGACCAGCCTGGCCAATATGACAAAACCCCATCTCTATTAAAAATACAAAAATTAGTGGGGGGTGGTGACGTGGGCCTGTAATCCCAGCTACTCTGGAGGCTGAGGCAGAAGAATTGCTTGAACCCAGGAGGCAGAGTTTGCAGTAAGCTGAGATTACGCCACTGCACTCCAGCCTGGCGACAGAGCGAGACTCCGTCTTAAAAAAAAAAAGTTTTCACTCGATACTCTTCTTCTAGAGCTGGCAATACATTGGCTCAGTTGCAAACATGCTCATTATTCCCTTCATCTTACGTAGCCTTAGAAGAGAGCAGCTAGTGATATGCCATAAAACTGTAGACGTGATAGGTAGGAGCGGATATCACTTAGTCCAAGTCCTCTGGTCTCCAGGTAGGCAAGGTCCTTTGCAGATGCCCTGGTGTTAGCGGTGGTTCCCAGTCTCGGCAATGCATTAGTAACACCTGGGCTGCCTTTATAACGGCCAACCTATTATCCCCAGTGATTGATTTAATTGTTCTTGGGTTAAAATCATCCCTACATTTTTTTTTTTAGATGGACACTTACTCTGTTGCCCAGGCTGGAGTGCAGTGGCGCGATCTCAGCTCACTGCAACGCCCACGTCCCGGGTTCAAGTGATTCTCCTGTCTCGGCCTCCAGAGCAGGTGGGATTACAGGTGCCTGCCACCACGACCGGCTAATTTTTGTATTTTCAGTAGAGACGGGATTTCACCGTGTTGGCCAGACTCGTCTCAAACTCTGACTTCAGGCAATCCCCTCGCCTCAGCCTCCCAAAGTGCTGGTATTACAGGTGTGAGCCACTGCGCCTGGCCACCCCTACATTTTTTTAAAGCAGCCAAGGGAAATATTATATACCAAGGCTAAGGACCACTGAGCTGAAGTACTAAGTTTTCAGATGAGGAAACCCCAATCTCCTTTCTCACTCATGTGGGTTTACGGTATTAACTACATTTTAAATGTCAGAAGTTTAAAAAGCACAAAATAAATGTTACGAATAGAGTTAAAATAGGGCAGCAGTGATTCTGATTTGTGTTATATATATTGCAAGGTTTCACATCTTAAAAATGTGAACTTTAGTGGATGATTCAAAGCACATGTATTATTCTGTGTAAAGAACACTGTGTGTATTAACTCATCTTCAGTGGGTATTAACTTTGTGCTTTTTTAAAAATGAGGATTTAAAAAACAAAACATTAATGTTCTCTTGCTCATTTTCTGAGTCATGGGAGTAGACGGTATATCATATACTAGTCAGGTTTGCCCAGAAAATAGAAAGCATTCTAAATATTTCAAGCAGAAAGGGATTATATTTGTGGTTATGTGTTTATTGATAGGACTGGAGTGGGAAAGCTAGGGAAGGCTGCCACTCTTGTTCAGGGTGGCCACTGTTACTGTGGTCCAAGAAGCTGCTGCTGCTGCCCAGGAGAGAATATTGCAGGGAATCACAGTGGACTCCAGCTACCTTGCATCAGAACTGCGGAGACAGGCGACACAGGCAATACCCAGAGGCTGCTGAAGACAGCAATTCTGTTCCTTGCTGTGGGAGGAGGGAGAATAGTGTTGTGTGTGCTTTTACATCTCAGGCAAGTCTATCTCGTTGACATCGAGAGATGTCAGGTTGCACTGAGAACCCTAGAGGAAGGGAACTCTGGGAAAGGCAGGCACTGGCTCTCTAGACTGTATGACAGGCACAAGCGCACAGATGAGAATGAGAATGAATCCTCATTGTCAAGCAGAATTAAACCAAACTAAAACACATTATAAAGCAAAAAGATGATGAAGAGATGGGCCATTGAACATTTTGTGTGACTTTATCTGGATTCTGTGAAAATGGAACCAATGTTTTCCGATCCACTGAGCTACATTTGTTAACAGGGATATTCATAACATGTATGTTTTCTTACATTCATATATGTTTTTATAAATGCCATTTATGATCCTGAGTATGTAAAGGAAGATGTTGCCTCTGATACTGGTGTGGCATGTGCAAGACTATTTTTGTGAGTTTCAGTTTGGCGACTGCTTTTGGTGGGAAGAGGTCTTTCAGCAAACAAAATTCACCAGTCCTAAGAGCGCCTTGAATGCTGGAGATAAAAATATTTCTTTGACCATAATAACTCTGCTGTTGGTATTTGCTTCAGATTTGTGGCCTAGCATCTGAGATTAGGTCCAAGCTTTAATAATGATTGGCTGTTCCCCTCGAACCCTGGGGGTTTATTTATCATCATTTTCCACCCATGTGTCAGCTGAAAAAACAAAAAAATTATCGATTAGCAATCCCAACCACTTATCACTTAAACTGGATAATTTATTACCTAAGTCAAAAAGACACGTATCAGTAGAGATGAGCTACAGTGATTATTAGCTTCATACTGTCCTACCTTGCCTGCATGTCTGCACTTGTGACCTGCTGCTCTCTTTCTTCTGAATGGAGACAAGAAAGGGACCATCAGATGCTGGGGTTCTGCTGGTAGACAGCGAGCAGAGCTATAGTCCCTGACTATGATGGTTGCTTCACTGCTTTAGCTTGTCTCCTGTTACTCTTGCTGCAGCATGGAAGGCTGCAATAATACTATTCATTTCTAAATGCTTGCTAGTGAAGATGGAGTGCTCAAATCATCTAATGGGTGGATTTAAGACAGCGAGAAGGAGAAGGCTTGTTGCCATTTCCAATTTTTTCTGGTTCTTTAAGATGGCATGAGAGGGAAATAATTAATCTTGGATAGATTTTAGCAAAACGAAACACCCATGTTCCTAATCTTTGGTAAAATACTTTACCAATTTAGGGCCGGGTGCGGTGGCTCACGATTGTAATCCCAGCACTTTGGGAGGCCGAGGTGGGTAGATCACGAGGTCAGGAGATCGAAACCATCCTGGCTAACACAGTGAAACCCCATCTGTACTAAAAATACAAAAAATTAGCTGGGCATGGTGGTGGGCGCCTGTAGTCCCAGCTACTCGGGAGGCTGAGGCAGGAGAATGGCGTGAACCCGGGAGGCGGAGCTTGCAGTGAGCCGAGATTGTGCCACTGCACTCCAGCCTCCGCAACAGAGCGAGACTCCGTCTAAAAACGAACGAACAAACAAACAAACAAACACTTAACCAATTTAGTTTTTCCTTGAGGACTAGGGTTATTTTCCTGATCAGAAAGACAGGACTAAGGTGCCAGCCTGGGAATTTTGAATGACTCATGGAAAGCTGTTACAGGTAGAAAGATGTCAGTGCCAAGTGTTTTAAATAGGCATTTTGGACCATTAGGATGTCATGGTTTGCTTATCGTGGCTTTTTTTACGTCTGAATACATTCTCATCAGCTATGCTTCATTCGTTATAAAAGGAACTCTAGAATCAAGTGTTGCCATTCTTCTTGGTTTCAGAAGAAAGATAATCTCTTGAGCTCACAGGCTCACAAACACATCTCACTGAAAGTAATTACCTTCACATCAGTTATGAGAAGGCACATGCTGAGTTTGCCTCCCCAATGCCTTTCAAGATTTATGAGTGCCTTATCACTGGATATCATGGGCAACAGATGCACCTTATAACGATGACTTTAAAAAATAAACTATAATTGTTATGCCTTGGCTCCTGGCCAAAGAAACAGGATCTAAGTCTGATTGATGGCACAAGGTAGCTTTCTATCATTTAACAGTAAATGGCTTTGCTCTTTTATTATGTTTTGCTTGAGTAAAAAAAAAAGATAAATAGAATTAAGAACTTGATGAAAGACAGTCCTGCAGTGATACACATTGAAAGATGCAAAACTAAGAGTCACTGATTAGCTGGTGAACTTGCTAGTGTGGATCATGGAATGACTGTAAGCATCATCTCATGAGCCCATCATGAAGCTGACCTCACAGAGGCAGTGGCACTGCAGGAGACCACCAACAAAGCAGAAATGGCAAAAGAGTTCCCAGAGAAATAACGCCTGCCGGGGTCCCAAGATAGGAACTAGAAAGAAGTCAGAGCTGTGCATTGGTGAAATACAAGTGCTTAATAACCCCCATCCTTACTCATATCTGCATATGCACAGCACTGTGTGAAAAGTAGATGTGACCGATTGCTTGTTATAGACCAGTGTTCACCCTCTTCTGTTTCCTTTGGTCATGGAACCTCTAAGTTTTAAGTAGGCATAGAGCCACCCAGTTAAAGATTGCATTTCCCACATCCTTTATCATTAAGTGCAGCCTTGTGACTAGATTCTGGCAATGGGATATGAACAGAAATGGTGAATGCAGAGCTGCTCCAAGATGGCTGACTAGACGCAGCCAGGAGGAACATCTCCCACTGAGGGTCTGGGACATTGGGAAGACTGGCACGCTTCTAGCAGATCTTCAGAGAGAAGGTATTGAGAGTGGATGGAGGGAAGACACAGGTGCTGGGCTGAAGGGGGAGGAAGTTGGGAACCCTGCATGGGGCTACTGCACACCAGGACTCCTTCCTGGCTTCCAGTGACTCTTGCGAAAGGGGTGAGTTTAATAGGCAAATTGCTCTCACCATGGGCCTCTGGAATTGCAGCAGGAGGAGACCCCTTGAGCACCGTGGACACTTGAGTTGGCAGGGAGAGCAGCTTGGAGACGTATTAGTGGCAGAACCCCAGACTGTGCAGAGCCCAGAGGGTTTGGTGTGGGAAATTCTGTAGTGGAGCATCACCAGGGATACCCATCCCCCGAGGCTCAGCTTGCTCCCATAGGAAACTTCAGCCCTGTGAGATCTGTGGGACCTTAACTCTGCAGGGCAGTCTTGCCCATCAGACTAGGCTGGTCTGAGCTGAGAACCCCATGGTTCTGCTAGCCTTCCCTGGGGCCCATCCTGGCCATGCCTGCTTGCAGTGCAGGCCCCAGGTACCTCCTGGGGGATTGAACCATAGGTCCTGTGCTGGTGGACTACAATTAACTGGCAGAGTGCTCTAGCAGAGTGATCCCTGTGAATACACACCATCTGCAAACTCCCTCAACTGTAGCCTCTCCTGTGTTGCTTTGCCTGCAGGCAGTAGCCCATGGCCAACCCAAACATTGCTTTGCCGGTTTGTGTGTGTGTGGGCAGACCTTGCCTTCCCTTCCCCACCACTGCACCTGTGCACATAAACCTGGCCATGCCACTGCTGTTGGCATTAATGCACTCTGCCCACTCCCACCTCCCCACTGCAACATTGCTATTGTCACTGGAGATTGGTGGGCATGGAGCCTATGAGCCTTCCCTCCACCAGCACCCTGCCCCTGTGCCAACACTGCTGCCAGTGCAAAATTGGACATGGAGAACAGCAAACTCACCCCTGCCCTGAGTGGCACTGCCACCTGTGTGAATGTGCACAGAGGGCAATACAGTCCTGTGTCCACCAGTGCCCTACTGCCATGCTAACACCACCACCAGTGTGGATACACACACAATTATTGGCAGGGGCCTTCTATCCCCAAGCCATGGTGCCACCACTGCTCCACATGGAGGCCAACATCCCAGCAACTGCTAGCACTCTGCCACAGCTGATGAACACAAACTCCACCACACTGCCACTGCCACTGCTGCTGGCACATGCAAATGAGGCTGGATCCCACTGTCACCACCCTATGAAGTGCTTTGGCTGGTATCACTTATTGGAGTGTTGTGACCTGTGGTCTGGGAGCACCTCAGACCCTCAAAAACAGCAGTTTCCCCTTGAGGAGCCAAAGAGCAAAGCCAGGGCTAATCCCAGCCCCCAGAGTTAGAATATGCAGTCCAGGAGTCCTGAGCTGAGCCTTGGCCCTCTAAAATATTCCAGAAATGAAGCCAGTTGACTGAACTCACCTTAAACCACAATCAAACCCCAAGGTCATCAAATAGGATAAATGAAAGAAAACCCATCCAAGGTCAGCAACCTCAAAGACTGAAGGAACAACAGTCCACAAAGATGAGAAAGAACCAGTGCAAAAACTCTGGCAACTCAAAAAGTCAAGGTGTCTTCATTCCACCAAACAACCACACTAGTTTTCAAGTAAAAGTTCTTAACCAGGCTGAGATAGCTGAAATGACAGAAATACGATTCAGGATATGGATATGAATGAAGATCATCAAGATTCAGGAATACAATGAAACCCAATCTAAGGAAGATAAGAATCACACACACAAAAGCTGATACAGGAGCTGACAGACAAAATAGCCAGTATAGAGAAGAAGATGACCAACTTGATAAAGATGAAAAACACACTACAAGAATTTCATAATGCAATCACAAGTATTAATGGCAGAATAGACCAAGCTTAGAAAATAATTGCAGAGCTTAAAGACTGGCTTTCTGAAATAAGACAGTCAGATAAGAATGAAGAAAAAAGAATAAAAAAAAGCAAACAAAACCTCTGGAGAAATATGGGGTGATGTAAATAGACCAAATCTACTACTCATTGGCATCCCTGAAAGAGATGGGGAAAATGGAAGCGACTTGGAAAACATATTCCAGGATATCATCCATGAGAACTTCCTAAACCTAGCTAGAGAGGCCAACATTAAAATTCAGGAAATGCAGAGAACCACTGCAAGATACTTCAAAAGAAGATCATCTCCAAGACACATAATCATCAGATTCTCCAAGGTTGAAATGAAAGAAAAAGTGTTAAAGGCAGCTAGGGAGAAAGGACAGGTCACCTACAAAGGGAAGTCCATGAGATAACAGGGGATCTCTCAAAAGAAACTCTAGAAGCCAGAAGAGATTGGGGGACTATATTCAGCATTCTTAAAGAAAAGAAATTCCAACCAAGAATTTCATATTTGGCCAAACTAAGCTTCATAAACAAAGGAGAACCAAGATCCTTTTCAGACAAGCAAACGATGAGGGAATTTGTTACCACCAGATCTTCCTTACAGAAATTCCTGAAAAAGGCAATAAATACAAAAAGGAAATATCATCACCAGCCACTACAAAAACACACATAAGTACACAGACCAGTGATTTGATAAAGCAACCACACAAAGAAGTCTGCATAAGAACCAGCTAATGACATGACAGAATCAAATTCACACATATCAATGTTAAACTTGAATGTAAATGGGCTAAATGCCCCATTAAGAGATGCAATGTGGCAAGCTGGATAAAGAA
Organism: Homo sapiens; assembly: GCF_000001405.40. Classification (NCBI taxonomy): domain Eukaryota; kingdom Metazoa; phylum Chordata; class Mammalia; order Primates; family Hominidae; genus Homo; species Homo sapiens. Next base: position 67,482,706 of record NC_000009.12, on the reverse strand, counting down.
GCAAGACTCAATGGTATGCTGTCTTCAAGAGACCCATCTCACATGCAATGACACTTATAGACTCAAAATAGAGGAATGGAGGAAAATCTACCAAGCAAATGGAAAAGAGAAAAAGCAGGAGTAAAAATCCTACTTTCAGGCAAAACAGACTTTAAACCAACAAAGATCAAAAAAGACAAAAAAGGGCATTACATAATGGTAAATGGTTCAATTCAACAAGAAGATCTAACTAACTTAAACATATATGCACCCAACTAAGGAGCATCCATATTCATGAAGCATGTTCTCAGAGATGTTCAAAGAGACTTAGAATACCACACAGTAATAATGGGAGAAGGAAACATTCCACTGACAGTATTAGATCATTGAAGCAGAAAATTGACAAAGATATTCAGGACCTGAACTAACACTGAACCAAATAGACTTGATAGACATACACAAAAGTCTCCACTCAAGAATAATAGAATATACATTCTTATCACCGCATGGCACGTATTCTAAAATTGACCACACAGTTGAACACAAAACACTCCTCAGCAAATGCAAAAGAATCAGAATCATATTAACCAGTCTCTCAGACCACAGTGCATTAAAAATAGAATTCATGACTAAGAAAATTACTCGAAACCATACAATTATATGGCAATTAAGCAACCTGCTCCTGAATGACTTTTGGGTATATAGTAAAATTAAGGAAGAAATCAAGAAGTTCGTTAAAACTAATAAGAACTGAGATACAACATACCAGAATCTCTGGGACACAGCTAAGGCAGTGTTAACAAGGAAATTTATAGCGCTAAACACTTACATCAAAACGTTAGAAAGATCTCAAATTAACAACCTAACATCACAACTAAAATAACTAGAGAAGCAAGAGCAAACCAACCCTAAAACTAGAAGAAGACAAGAAATAACCAAAATCAGAGCTGAACTGAAGAATGGGACACAAAAAAACCATTCAAAAGATCAATGAAGGCAGGAGCTGGTTTTTTGAAAAAGTAAATAAAATAGATAGAGTGCTAGCCAGACTAATAAAGAAGAAAAGAGAGAGACCCAAACAAACACATTTAGAAACAACAAAGGGGATGTTACCACTGGCCCCACAGAAATACAAATTACCATCAGAGACTACTATGACTGCCTCTGTGCACACAAACTAGAAAATCCAGAACAAATTGATACATTTCTTGACACATACATCCTCCCCAAGACTGAACCAGGAAGAAATTGTATCCCTGAGTAGATCAATAATGAACTTTGAAACTGAGTCAGTAATAAATAACCTACCAACCAAAAACAGCCTGGGACCAGACAGATTCATAGCTGAATTCTGCCAGATATACAGAGAACTGGTATTATTTCTACTGAAACTATTCCAAAAAATTGAGGAGGAGGGACTCCTTTCCAATTCATTCTATGAGGCCAGCATCATGCTGATACTAAAACCTGGCAAAGCCACAACAAAAAAGAAAACTTCAGGCCAGTATTCTTGATGAACTTTGATACAAAAATTATCCACAAAATACTAGCAAACCAATTCCAGCACCACATTAAAAAGCTAATCCACCATAATTGAGTAGGCTTTATCCCTGAGATTCAAGGCTGATTCAACATACACAGATCAATAAATGTGATTCATCACATAAACAGAACTAAAGACAAAAACCATGATTGTCTCAATAGATGTAGAAAGGGCTTTCAAATAAAATTCAATATCCTTTCATGTTAAGAACTCTCAGTAAATTAGGTATTGAAGGAACATACCTCAAAATAATAAGAGCCATCTATGACAAACCCACACAGACAACATCATACTGAATGGGCAAAAGCTGGAAGCATTACCCTTGAAAACTGGTACAAGACAAGCATGCCCTCTCTCACCATTCCTATTCAACATAGTATTGGAAGTCCTGGACCGGGCAATTAGGCAAGATAAAGTAATAAAGGGTATCCAATAGGAAGAGAGGAGGTCAAGCTATCCCTGTTTGCAGATGACATGATTCTGTATCTAGAAAACCCCATAGTTTTTGCCACAAAGCTCCTTAATCTGATAAACAACTTCAGCAATGTTTCAGGATACAAAATCAATGTACAAAAAATCACTAGCATTCTTATAAACCAACAACAGCCACGCTGAGAGCCACTTACACACTGTTGGTGGCAGTGTAAGTTCTTTTAACCAGTGTGGAAAGCAGTGTGGTGATACCTCAAAGGGCTAAAAACAGAACAACCATCTAACCCAGCAATCCCATTCCTGGGTATATACCAAAGTGAATATAATTCATTATATCATAAAGACCCATGCACACATATGTTCTTTGCAGCACTATTCACAATAGCAAAGACATGGAATCAACCTAAATACCCATCAGTGATAGACTGGATAAAGAAAACATGGTACATATGCATCACGGAATACTATGCAACCATAAAAAAGAATGTGATCACATTCTTTGCAGGTACATGGATGGGGCTGGAGGCCATTATCCTTAGCAAAGTAACACAGGAACAGAAAACCAAATCCACATGTTCTCACTTAAAAGTGGGAGCTAAATGATGAGAACACATGGACACATAGTGGGGAACAGACACTGGGTCATACTTGAGGGTGGAGGGTGGGAGGAGGGAGAGAATCAGGAAAAACAGCTATTGGGTACTAGGCTCAGTACCTGAGTGATGAAATAATCTGTACAGCAATACACCATGACATGCCAAACCCTATATACCAAACCTACACATGTACCCCTGAACCTAAAATAAAGTTAAAAGGCCGGGTGTGGTGGCTCACGCCTGTAATCCCAGCACTTTGGGAGGCCCAGGCGGGCGGATCACGAGGTCAGGAGATCAAGACCATCTTGGCTAACACGGTGAAACCCTGTCTCTACTAAAATACAAAAAGAAATTAGCCGGGTATAGTGGCGGGCACCTGTAGTCCCAGCTACTCGGGAGGCTTGAGGCAGGAGAATGGCGTGAACCCGGGAGGCGGAGCTTGCAGTGAGTCGAGATCATACCACTGCACTCCAGCCTGGGTGACAGAGCGAGACTCCGTCTCAAAAAAAAAAAAAAAAAAAAAGAGATACTGAGGCTTAATGATTTCCTCAGGGCCACATGAATAAAAATTGTGAGTTGGGCTTCCACAACAGGCATCTAATTTCACTTACCTCATATGGCATCCCAAGTCAGTCAATACGTATTTGCATCTAGTTGGTGATTCTCACAGGAGTGCATGGCTACTCCTGACTCAAGACTGGTCCTTCTGTAAGTGGAAAGCTTTTCCCCATTTGGAGAGAGTGGCATCTGGAATAAGGGAGGGAGAGCTCACTACCTAAGGCCGACTTAATGCTGCGCTAGGTGTTGCGGGTTTACAAAAGTACAGAGATAAGAAAAATCAACTAAATTTCAATACTTGATTTCCCACATGTGTGTTGGTTCCTTTTCCTTTTGTATATTTTAATTCCACTGTGCTGCTTATTAAATCCACAATTCTGTATGTATCTTGAGTTTAGAGGGAACGTTTTATTCATTGCGCAGTGTCTGAAACATAGTACAAGCATAGTAACTTCATTACATTTTTAAAAGTTATAATCCAAATCTATATGAACCACAACAATCCCATTGATATTTTGATGAATTATATAATTAGAATTTATTGTTGGGATAGCCATTTCTTCTTCCAGTGCAAATAATACTAAAAAGAAAAATCATGTGCATATTATTAATTACAATTTCACGTGAATTAAGAATTCTTCTTTATTATTTATGTAGCCATTTTTTACCCTACAGGAATGACAATAATCCTTTCCCATTATTGATAACATAATAATAATAATACTGTTATGCTTATTTTTTCTGTTTTTCCTCTAGACTCAGTCATCCTATTAACTCAAGTCATTTGATTTAATGGAGTAAGTTAATTCATATTTTGACTGTGAGTTTCCACTAACAAAGGAAAAAATTCTTGGAAGTCTCTTAAGAAGTCCATTTCTTTGTTAAAAGCAATAATGTAGTTTGTTCACTGCTGTGTGGAGGTGAGACTGTGAGATAGTCTAATAATACAAAAGTCTAGGAAGTGCAGCTTTCTCTTCTACTTTTGAAAATTACCCTGTTTCAGGATGCTTCGTCTCACTACCTTTTGTTTTTGAGCGTATTCAATGTATGACTAATCAGAAGATTAAAGGTATTTTGCCTAAATGCATTTTTCTACAAAACAGGGCAAGAATTAGAAAAGCCTGCAGTAGTGTAAGTAAGCTGACAGAGGTGAAAGCTTTTTTAAATTAAAAAATTTGATAAAATTGCTACTGCTCAGTTATTTATAGAGATTGCAAATATGTAAATTGGTTGAGTGAGAAGATAAATTAAGGGGAAAAACAAGCTAATGGGAAGGACCGACCACTACAAACAGCATTAGCAGTGCCAGTGTTCCAAAGGCGTGCTCTCAGGAAATTTTTCACCTAGAGAAAATATCAATTATGCTCCTACCATTCTGATTATAGACAGAGGTGGTTATTTTATATATTTCTGCTGGATAATACATCTAAAAGCTATGAATTTGAATATAATATATATAATCCTTGTTTTATAAGGATATGAAAAATTATCTTTTATAGAATGCATCAAATCCAAGGAAGAAGATAATGTGGCATATTCAGAAGTCTTTTCATGGCATTTCCCAGAAATCTGAGAACTAAAGTCACTATGAAGACTCTTCTGTAGAAGAGACCACTACAGACATCAGTTTCTACTAAACAGTGAAAAGTCAGAACCATTATATATTAAGTAGAATGGGAATTAAATGGCCGTGTTCACATTTATAATGCATTTGAAAAGCGAGACTAGACTACAATGCTTTGTAGTAATAATAGATTCAGTGATTTCACTTGAGACATAGCAAATTAAATCTCAGAAATGTTGCTGAATTGATTGCAGGGTTCCAACCTCTACTATGAAAAGAGGAAGCCCCGCAGCTCTACTACAATTTGCCTGACAAGGCTGAGGCTCCCAGCTTGAGTGATCAAAAGAAGATAAGTCATTCTGGCCCTAATAAGCATAGCTGCTGTTAACCACGGGAGGAGTTTTAAAGTCTCTCATAGGAAGAGCCTAGTTGTCCAAGCTGTAGTTTCGAGAGAGGCCAAACGCTCATCAGTTCATCTTGTGTGTGTGAATATCAGTTGCAAAGGTTGAAACAGAATTATGCCATATATTCTAAAACAGGTGTCAAATAATATCCTGTGTACTACTTTATCCTAGGCATTTTGGGGAACATCAAAATGCCTAGGATAAAGGCATTTGGGGGGCCATCAAAAAAGCATTGGCTTATCAAAAATTGGAGGAGACAGTGTTATAAGAAGCACCTGAGACAGTAAGTGTAAATCGTGTGGCCCTGACCGTAAATAGAATGGGAGCCTGCAGCATGGACTGGCATGATCAGAGGTTTGGAGCTGGAACCATAAAAAGCCCCTATTAGGTCCTGCCTTCCACCCACCACACCATCCAGGCCAACAGATGCTCACTGTCCACAGGCTTAACTGATGATTCCTGTCACCTGATTTTCCAGGGTGAGCAGGGTCACTGAAGTATCTCAGGTGAATATCCCCTACAGGACTAGAGGAGGGTGACTTTGGAGTAGACTGTGTGGGACAAGAGAAATAGGTGGTGAAATCTGTGGGGACATCAGTGGGAGTCTTTGGTCTGTGGTCTAATAAGTAAACCTGAGATCGAGGTCAGGATCTGAAATACCTGGGTCTACCTCATGGATTTGTATATTGCATCTGCATCATGTCCAGCATTGGATATGATCATATCTCCTGTAGGTTACATTTCACAAAGGTTTGTTAGTTCTGTGTAGGCAAATATAAAGAGGTATATGTGTATGTATAAGCATTTAAAATTCTGTCCCTCCTGGCCAACATGGTGAAACCGAATCTGTACTAAAAATACAAAAATTAGCTGGGCATGTTGGTGCATGCTTGTAATCCCAGCTACTTGGGAGGCTGAGGCGGAGAATCACTTGAACCTGGGAGGTGGAGGTTGCAGTGAGCCGAGATCACGCCACAGCACTCCAACTTGGGTGACAGGGAGAGACTCCATCTCAAAACAAACAAACAAAGAAACAAAATTCTGTGAGGTGTCTTTTGTAGCAACTGGAATGAAACTAGAGTTCATTATCTTAAGTGAAACAAGCCAGGGGAAGAAAGTCAAATATCACATGTTCTCACCCATAAATGGGAGCTAAATAACCTGTATAGATGGATGTAGAGAGTGGGATGACAGACAATGGAGGCTTGGAATGCTGAGGGTGGAATGAGAGGAGTGGATGATGAGAAATTAGTTGATGGGTACAATGTACATTATTTTGGTTGATGGATACCCTAAAAGCCCTGACTTGACCACTACACAATCTATGCAGGTAACAAAATTGCAGATGTGCCCCATAAATTTGTACAACAAATAAAAAAAAATCTGTGAGAATTTGAAAGTAGCCTATGATCATTTCCAAGGAGCAGAAACAACTACACGATGCTGTGGAAGGACTAATACATTTGTTCAAAAACAAAAGCATCTAGTCAGTCATTAATTCTAGATGGCCCATGAATGCATAAATTGTGCAAAGATCTACATAGATAATCAAGGCAACCAGGTTCTACACAAGGTGAAAAGGTTCTGAAAGGACGAGAAGCCTTCTAGGCCACCAGTTGGTCACCTTGCCACCACAACAATGGCCCATTTGATAGGAGACAATGCCATAGAGGGGAGAAAAGAACAGAAGATTGAGAGGAGAAAGGACGCAGGTTTTGTTGCTGTTGTTTTTGTTGTTAATGTTTCCTCTTGCTTCCATGTACTGCTTGTCTTTTACAATCAGTTTATAACTTCAGGGCCCTGGGACTGTTTTTATTGAAACATGACTTAGAAACTGTAAAGCTGTTTTAGGCATTGCTGGGAACCGCTGAAATAGATAAGAAATTGTTATACTCGGCAAAGTTGAAAACAAATAACTATCAGCAAGCTGCCCAACTCTACCAAACTCACAGTGATACTAAATCAATAGAAAGATGCTGATTTATGAGCAGTGAAGTCATTCTCTTCGGAGACCCTGAAGTATATGGACATTGCAGTCTTCAAGCATAACCCCCTCCCAAATTCTATGCTATTTAAAAAACTTTTTAAGAGACTACCATGCTACAGTTCAAATCTGAGCAATTAAATCAAATTGTGCATTTTTACCTTAGAATCAATGGAAATCTGTTGAGTATACCGGAAATAAAGGAAACTTGTGGGGAAGATTATAGCACCTCTCTAGTCACAGCAGTCCATCAAAATACCTCTGTTTAATCAGGCCATGATGACAAGCAAAATTTAATTGAATAAATTTGAATGAAAATCACTGTGGTAGACAAAATAATGGCCCCCAAAAGATGTCCATGCCCTTAAGCCCTGGGATCTATGAATGTTACCTGACATGGCCAAGGGGAAGTAAGGTTGCAGGTGGAGTAAAGGTAGCTAATCACTAATGTTAAAATAGGTCAATGAGCTTGGTTACCCAGGTGCATCCAATGTAATCACTAGGGTCCTGAAAAATGGAAGAGTCAGGGGGAGTTGACGTTAGAAAGACTCAGTTGGCCATTGCTGGCTTTGAAGATGGCAGAGGGCCATGAGCCATAGAAATGTGAGCAGCTTCTAGAATCTGGAAAAGTCAGGAAGACAACATTCTCCCCTGGAGTCTCCAGAAAGAAATGCAGCTCCTCCAACACTTTCATTGCAGCCTGGTGATACCTACTTTGGTCTGATAACTTGCAGAATGTAAGATAATACATTTTTGTTTAACGCATTAAGTTTGTGGTAGTTTATCAGCAGGAGTAGGAAACTAATACAACCACTAAGAGAAAATTTTTCTTAGTGTAGGAAAATTAGAATAGAGGTTATTCTCAGGAATTGCAACCTGAGCTCTTAATCTTTCTGACATTTTATACATAAGAATAGAACTTTAAACCTAGCTAATGTGTATTTTAAGAATGAATAATTGATGCACCATTATTAGCACATATCTATATTTTCTCCTATTTGAGAACAGATTTTCAAAAAGCAATATGATGATTCACATGGCACACTATGTGTGGATTTATTGACTATCCCTGTAGAACAGCACTCTAATACATCACTAAAACACAGAAAACTTATAATACAAGCAAACATTATAGCAGTATGAGAGAAATGGCTTTCTGTCACACTTAGCCTAGTCTCAGATTAGATAAAAGAGGAAAACAATAATTATTCCAAATTCAAATTGTGCCAGGATGTATCTGTAGCATATGTCCTTGAAAACAGCAAAGGGTATATAATTTGATATTAGGAAACAGGACAAGCTCTGGAATTCTCAAGAATGAAATGGAAATTGTAACTCCTACGGCACTTGATGGCCGCAAGGACCTAATTGTATATGCGTATGTATTGTACATATACAATTGTATATGTAAATAGCCTCACGCTGTGGTACATGGTAGGTGCTCACTAATTAATAGATACCAGTATTAAAAGTCAATTTCTTCTCTCCTCTTAATGGTTCTAGAGTATGGTAAATTGTAGCTGGACAGCCTTGGGTTTGGCTAGAGTAGAAAGTTACCTTCATGGTGTCTAATATTTTCTCTTCCATTCCAAATTATTGTAGTGTGTGTGTGTGTGTGTGTGTGTGTGTGATTTTGTTTTTGTTGTTTTTTCTTATTTTGTTTTACCAAGGTAGCAAAACAGTAGACATGCCACTCTTGCCTGTACCTCAGGGCCTTTGTACTTGGTGTTTCTTCAGCTGGGAATACTTTCCCTCCAGATTTCACATGATGACCTGTCTGTCACTTTATTTGGATTTCTGTCCCCACTTAATACTGTCTGATGTTATTTTTTAAATTTGGCTTCTCCAGAGAAAATGAACCAATAAGGATGTGTGTGTGTGTGTGTGTGTGTGTGTGTGTGCATGTGTGTGTAAAATGAGATTTATTACAAGGCATTGGCTCATGAACTCATGAAGGCTAAGTCCCACAATCTGCTGTCTACAAGCTGGAGACCCAGGAAAGCCAGTGGCTTAGTTTAGTCCTAGTCCAAAGGCCTAAAAAATAGGGGTGTGGGATGATAAGTCCCAGTCTGAGGGCAGTGGAAGGACAATGTCTGAGCTTAAGCAATCAGGCAGCGAGAGAATTCAGGCTTCCTCGACCTTTTTGTTCACTTTCAGCCCTGAATGGGTTTGAAGATGTCCGCTCACTATTGGGGAGGCCATCTGCTTTACTCGGTCTGCCAATTTAAATACAAATCTCTTTCGGAAACACCCTCACAGACACAGCCAGAAATAATGTTTAACCAGATATCTGAGCATCCTGTGGCCCAGTCAGGTTAATACATAAAATTGTCACAATTTTGTACATATTTATTTATTTATTGCCTGACTCCTTCACTTGAATGGAAACATCATGGATGCAGGGACTTTTGCTTGTTCACTGTTTGATGTCAGCACCTAGGACAGGACCTGGGACTTCGTGCATTCTCAGCAAATGAGATGAAAGAATAAATGTCTAGTCTGATGGGCTTCCCTTTGAGAGTAACCCGACCTTTCAGGCACATATACACCATGGAATACTATGCAGCCATAAAAAATGATGAGTTCATGTCCTTTGTAGGGACATGGATGAAATTGGAAATCATCATTTTCAGTAAACTATCGCAAGAACAAAAAACCAAACACCGCATATTCTCACTCATAGGTGGGAATTGAACAATGAGATCACATGGACACAGGAAGGGGAATATCACACTCTGGGGACTGTTGTGGGGTGGGGGGAGGGGGGAGGGATAGCATCGGGAGATATACCTAATGCTAGATGACGGGTTAGTGGGTGCAGCGCACCAGCATGGCACATGTATACATATGTAACTAACCTGCACAATGTGCACATGTACCCTAAAACTTAAAGTATGATTAAAAAAAAAAAAAAGAATAAATGTCGGGGCTAAAGCCTCATTTTCTTTTCTTTCTTTTTTTTTTTTTGAGACGGAGTCTCTCTCTGTCGCCCAGGCTGGAGTGCAGCGGTGTGATCTCGGCTCACTGCAACCTCCGCCTCCTGGGTTCATGCCATTCTCCTGCTTCGGCCTCCTGAGTAGCTGGGACTACAGGCGCCCGCCACCACACCCAGCTAATTTTTTGTGTTTTTAGTAGAGACAGGGTTTCACCGTGTTAGCCAGGATGGTCTCGATCTTCTGATCTCGTGATCTGCCTGCCTTGGCCTCTCAAAAGAAGTGCTCTTACAATCTATGTTAATTCATCTTGCTTTATCCCATGTTCAGAACTGAACTTTGAGTTGAGGTATGCCTAAAGCATTCTTTCTGAGCATCAGATGACTTGATATGGTTACAGCACAAATTGGCACCAAAGGACACAGCCCAGTAAGTCACAGGCTGTTGCCTTCTAACTCAGTATCATAGTTATGGAGACTTCTGTTGGGGTTTTAGGGTTAATGGAATGGAACAGATGTAGGAGAGTCTATCACCTTTGATAGTATTGCTGGATGAAAGAATGAGGTTGGAATGCTAGGTTGTGATGGTTAATTTTATGTATCAACTTGGCTGGGCCAACGGATGACCAGATAAACTAGTAGGACATTATTTTTGGGTGCATCTATGAGGGTGTTCCTGGAAGATATTAACGTTTAGGTAGACTGAGTCAAGATCACCCTCAGCAATACGTGTGGGCACCATCCAATCTGTTGAGATCCTGAAGAGAACAAAAAGATGGAGGAAGGAAAAATCTGCTCTCTCCCTGAGCTGAGACACCAGCTCCTGCTCTCACCTGCACCTTCTCCTGCCCTCAGACATTGGTGCTACTGGTTCTCCAGCTTCTGACTCAGATGGAGACTTACATCATTGACTCCCCAGGTTATGAGAGTTTTGAGTCTGGACTACAACCAGACCATCAGTTTTCCTGGGCCTGCAGCTTACAGAAAGCAGATGGTGAGACTTCTCAAACTCCATAAGCACGTGAGCCAATTTCTCATAAATATCTTACTATACATCTCTGTTGTCAACCTAAAAAAAGACACTAGAGAAAATTTATTTCTATGGTATATTGAGTTTACTCAGGGGTAAGAATCAATTATTATAACTGGAATGCATGGCATGGTAAACCACTAATGTATCTGTGAGGGAAGGGCAAAGGGAAGCTTTCATTAGCAAAAACAGAGAGTTTTATAGAAGTAGCTTAGAAATAGAATTCATTGGTTCCAGAGAGCTGTTGTCAGTTCACTGGTGGAGATGTCATTACTGGGCGAGTGTTCTGAGATATCTTATCTGAATTACTGCAGTACTAAAGAATATCTAGTGATAAACCTTGTCAAAACAGGAGATGCATGAAGGATGCAAAAAGGTTTCTTGTGGGGTTTTTAGAAAGTCCCTGAAAGCAGTTTTTATCTCCCATATGTGAGCATGAGCCATCTCTCCTTCATACTATCCTGACTTTATTTTATCCAGGTCTGACAAAAGTGATTTTATCCTGGTATCTGAAACTTCTGACTAAAACATAAGACAAATACTTCTTTCTACTTATTCGGCACGTCCTAGTTTTGGGATAGTTGGTCCGAGAAACAGCCTTGGTTTACAGAACAGACCCTCTGAAGGCAGCCAGCTTCGAGAGAGGATGCTGCCTTGCTTGCTGGCTAACAGGGAGGGTGACTAAACATGTATGAGGTGTTTCATTCATAAATCCTTAACTGCACTGAGTCAAGGTATGTCAACAGATGGATGCCAGATCCTTGTTACTGATTAATCAGAGAATTCACTCCTATTGGAGGGAAAGGGATGGCCAGTATTACACTAGGGAAGCGTCCACATGGAAAACAGGAGGACAGGGAAAGAAAGTTTGCTCTAACATCTTCTGAGTCCTTCAAAGTGCTTTTCATCTGTGATTTTTGTTTACTCCTCTTACTAAGAAGAGTAAATATTTAACGTGAGCAGGAAGTCTGAGACCCAGGGCTTTAGTGTCACATACAGTATAGGGCTCAATAGATCCATATATAAGAACAACAATGATCTCTCATGGGGAACCAATGGAAAAGTTAAAGTAACTTGCACCTATTTATGGAAAGCTCACATTAACACTCAAATGCTAATTAGAGAAAAATGTGACCAAAATGTTAACCCGAATCTATTGAAATGAAAAATAATATGTGTTACTTTCATTCCAGATTACTTAGTACATCCATGTGATTTATTTTTGGTAGGAAAGTCTTTTAAATGTCATTATATATAAGATCATTTTCAAACCCCAAATACTTACTAAATTCCATGCTCATTAATACATTTTCTAATAAGCATTCTTAACTCATTAGGATGGAATAACTGTTTTTTCTTAGATTTCAACTGGCATAGAGGACAGAAACCACTGGAACAAAACTAATGGAATTTTTTCTCCAGATCCAGGTTACCACATCTGTACCTCTGTCTTGGAGTTTGAGAAATAATCAGAACATGCTGTTTTCCTATCTCATGGAAACTCCTTTAAGCTGCAGGCTTGGCTATGGGTAGACAAAGGCATAAAGTGTTATGATGGACATTGGAGACTCAGAAGCAGGAAGGGTGGGAGAGGGATGTGGGATTTTAAAAACTACATATTGGGTACAATTAACACTACTCAGGTGACCAGGGCACTAAAATCTCAGACTTCACCCACTATACCATTCATCCATGCAGCCAAAACCCATTTGTACCCCTAAAGCTATTGAAATAATAATAATTTTAAAAAGACACAAGCTTGGGAACAGCATAATGATGGCGTTCCCCCGACCGCCTATAACACCACGACATACATTTTGATCACTTTTTTAAAAAGCATTTTAAACAATGATTAAGTCCTGCTGGGTCAATCTACTAAATAAGGCATCAGTAACAAAAAAATTCACATATAGCTGGAAAGTTTGCTGTGAACCCAATCACTCCAAATTCACAAAATGTTGAGTTTTTGTGGTAAAGCATTGGAGAAGTGTGAAGGCATTTATTTAGACAATAATTTTGTGGATCTTTATCAGGCAATTAGCCTGTATGGGCCTAATTGGGTTCTTAATGGGTTCTTATTTCCAAAGAAAAGTTTAACTTCCAGGTGCATTTCTTGACCTATAACTACCTTTTTACAAATAAAATTATCTCACTATTATGGGATGAGTTTTTTCCTACCCCAAAATTCATTTGTTGAAACCCTTACCTGCAGTACCCTAGACTATGACTGTATTTGGTGATAAGGTCTTTGAAGTGGTAATTAAGTTAAAATGAGGTCATCTGGTGAGCCTTAATCCAACTGGACTGGTGTCCTACTAAGAAAAGATTAGGATACAGACATGCCGAGAGGGAAGCCCGTGTGAAGACACAGGGAGAAGACGGCACCTGCCAGCCAAGGAGAGAGGCCTCAGGAGAAACCATCCTTGCTGAAATCATGGTCTCAGACTTCTGGCCTCCAGAATCATGTGAGAATAAATTCCTGATGTTTAAGTCACTCAGTCTCTGGTAGTTTGTTAAGGCGGCCCAACAGACTAACACAGCTACTTTAATAAAGAAGATTTTCGGCTGGGCACGGTGGCTCAAGACTGTAATCCCAGCACTTTGGGAGGCCGAGGCGGGCGGATCACGAGGTCAGGAGATCAAGACCATCCTGGCTAACACAGTGAAACCCCATCTCTACTAAAAATAGAAAAAATTAGCCAGGTGTGGTGGTGGGTGCCTGTAGTCCCAGCTACTTGGGAGGCTGAGGTAGGAGAATGGCGTGAACCCAGGAGGTGGAGGTTGCAGTGAGCCAAAGTCACGTGACTGCACTCTAGGCTGGGTGACAGAGCAAGACTCTGTCTCAAAAAAAAAAAAAAAAAAAAAAAAAAAAAAAAAAAAAATTAGCCGGGAATGGTGGTGTGTGCCTGCAATCCCAGCTACTCAGGAGGCTGAGGCAGGGAAATCGCTTGAACCCAGGAAGCAGAGGTTGCAGTAAGCTGTGATCTCACCACTGCACTTCAGTCTGGGCTACAGAGTGAGACTCTGCCTCAACAAAGAAAAGAAAAGAAAAAGAGAAGAAAAGAAAGAAAGAAAGTGTTTCTCCTTGAGGCGTATCACACATGGATTCAGTTCCCCAACTCTTGTTAAGCTGCCACAGGGCTTTGCCTGGGCATGTCCCTGCCTGTTCCTGTCTTCTGCCCTTCTGGGCCCTCCTGCTCTACTTTGGTTATGCAGCTATGAAATTACTCCAAACATTTACATAGTTTGCTACCTGAATGATACATGTGTGAAGGTTGATTGTACAAATTGGGTTATTCTTTTTTTGTCTGTTTGTTTCTAGATGCCCTGAGATCAGTTTCTAGCTTTTTCTTTTTTAAATTTTACTTTAACTTCTGGTATACATGTGCAGAATGTGCAGGTTTCTTATATGTCCCATGGTGGTTTGCTGCGCCTACCAACACATCATCTAGGTTTTAAGCCCTGCATGCATTAGGTATTTGTCCTAATGCTCTCCCTCCCTTTTTCCCTTACCCCCGGACAGGCCCTGGTGTGTGATGTTCCCCTCCCTGTGTCCATGTGTTCTCATTGTTCAACTCCCACTTATGAGTGAGAGCATGGTTTTCTGTTCCTCTGTTAGTTTGCTGAGAATGATGGCTTCCAGCTTCATCCATGTCCCTGCAAAGCACATGAACCCATTTTTTTATGGCTGCATAGTATTCCATGGTGTATTTGTGCCACATTTTCTTTATCCAGTCTATCATTGATGGGCATTTGGGTTGGTTCCAAGTCTTTGCTATTGTAAATAGTGCTGCAATAAATATACATGTGCATGTGATTCTTATCACATCCAACTAAAACAGAGTTGAGAAGCCAGGAGATAAAGCACTCATGTTACAAAATGTTGCTCCAAGAATGTAATCTCTGCAAGCCTGACTACTGGAACTGCTTTTGAGACCAGTTTTATCCATAGCTTCTGAGATAACTTGCTACAATTCTGTGACTACTTTTTCGCACCACCTTTGCTCATTATTCAGAGCTTGCCAGCTCCCCAAACCCTTCCTAGTGCCAATGAACTTACTCAAAGAGGAATACATAAGATTTCTCCTTTTTATAAAACCTCTAACCTTCTCTTCGTTCTTCAGAGAGAGTGTGTTCAGGGTTGGTTCCTTCCAGTGGGTTTGTGGTCTCGCTGACTTCAAGAATGAAGCCATGGACCTTCACGGTGAGTTTTACAGCTATTAAAGGTGGCATGGACCCAAAGAGTGAGCAGCTGCAAGATTTATTGTGAAGAGCGAAAGCCCTGCCCCGTAACCCAAAACGGTCCCTGGACCCTGCTGACCAGAATAGTTGCGCTCACCGAAGCAGCAGCAGAAACACTAGTTTTCCTCCTATACCACAAAGAGGACCGAGAAATGTCAGATTTAGTGGCCCTTACCGATGCATTCTCGAAAACCTGTTAGAGTCCTAAGAGTTTTCTCCTGTTAGTATTGGGACTTTACCCCTGTCCTATAAAGATGATATGCCCCCAAAACAGAGTGGAGGGCTATACCCTGAAGGAGGGAAGGAATCTCCCAGGTTGGAAGAGTAACACATTTTGTCCTCACTTATCATATGAATAGGAAGGATATAATTTCTGAGGCTACCCATATCCTAGCTTCGGGAATCACCTTTGTTAGGCCTGCTAGTCTGAGGAGGGATCCTAAAATCCCAGATAGTCCCCCACCCCACAACAAGACTTTGGGCAAAGATTATATCTTTCTGATTGGTGAGCCTGGGTGCCTAAAGAAAGGAACAGAGTCCCAAAATTTATACTAGAAATCATTCTTATAGGAGAATCTAGAAAAGCACCAGAGACAGGGAGTGGTTTTTAGAAGCAGGACTAGCCTCGGAGAAGAGAGACAGGAGGAAGTTTGTCTGACAGGTGTTAGGACCCAGGAGACAAGGGTCAGGATAGATAGGGTAGATGGGTGAGTCTTGCTTGGGCGACATGCCTTTCAGAGTTCCGCTCATGGCTGCAGGGTCAGCCAACTTTTTGTTGGGACCCCGGAGCTGAATGGCTTTCCTCTCTATCGACCCTCAGCTCAGCCCAGAAGTACAGGGAAAGCGGAAGCTGGTTCCAGGCAAACCAATGCTCCCAGCTCTGAAGAGTCAGAGATTGTTAGAGAGCCCTTTCCCAGAAAGCCTGACACCTGTGTCTTTAGTCTGGTGGCTGTGCTAGTCGCTTTTAACTGGCCAACAGGTGCCTGGTGTTTAGCCCCCAAATTGTAAGGAAACATAGGACAGAATAGCAAGCAAAAGGGTTCCAGTGGTACTCACCACTTGGCGATAGTCCCTTCGTGGTCTCCAAGATGTGTCCGGAGTTGGTTCCTTCTGGTGGGTTCGTCATTTCGCTGACTTCAAGAATGAAGGTGCGGACCTTCCTGGTGAGTGTTAGTTTTTTTTTTTTTTTTTTGAGATGGAGTCTTGCTCTGTTGCCCAAGCTGGAGTGCAGTGGCGTGATCTGGCGTGATCTCGGCTCACTGCAAGCTCTACCTCCCAGGTTCACACCATTCTCCTGCTCAGCCTCCCAAGTAGCTGGGACTACAGGTGCCCACCACCACATCTGGCTAATTTTTTGTATTTTTGGTAGAGATGGGGTTTCACAGTGTTAGCCAGGATGGTCTCAATCTCCTGACGTCGTGATCCGCCTGCCTCAGCCTCCCAAAGTGGTGGGATTACAGGCATGAGCCACTGTGCCCAGCCTAGTGTTACAGCTCTTAAAGATGGCACGGACCCAAAGAATGAGCAGCAGCAAGATTTACTGTGAAAAGCGAAAGACCAAAGCTTCCACAGTGTGGATGGGGACCTAATCAGGTTGCCACTGCTGGCTAGGGTGACCAGCTTTTATTCTCTTATTTGTCCCCGCCCATGTCCTGTTGATTGGCCCATTTTACAGAGCACTGATTGGTCCATTTTACAGAGCACAGATTGGTCCATTTTACAGTGTGCTGATTGGTCCATTTTAGACACCTCTAGCTAGCCACAGAGCGCTGATTGGTGCGTTTTACAATCCTAGCTACAGAGCACTGATTGGTGCGTTTTACAATCCTCTTGTAAGACAGAAAAGTTCTCCAAGTCCCCACGCAACCCAGGAAGTCCAGCTGGCTTCACCTCTCAAGAGCTCTGTTGGTTCTCACCAGAGATGATCTCTCCCTGGTTTGCAAACTGATATTGCTGATAAAACTCTTTTTTCTACTCTCAAGCCATTCTGGTGGTCCTTTGGACAACATATGCCTTGCTTTAGTAAGGACTGGGAGTGTATTTTCCCCTCCCTTGGAGAACAAGGTGTCTTATCAGACCCCATACATGAGAACTTGGAGCTACTTCTCCTCCCCTCGGGAATGTGACATCACAGCTTATCAGACCCGGTATGAGTTACTGAGCTTGACTACTGGACTTCAAGTCTAATAAACCTAAGAGTTTGACAGACACTTTAAGAGCTTAGGTCATGGCAGGGTTTCCTCTGTCAGCCATTCTCCAATGACCAGGAGCTTGTGCTGTGACAGGGCTGCACTGTCCACCACTTCTCCCCAACTTCCCTCTAGTATCCAGGGACCACCCCAGCCTTCTCTAGTCTCCACTGTGATGGCCAACCCAGTTTCCCTCAAGAACTGCTAGTATAAAGGAACACCTCCAGCTTTAATTAGAAGTTACTTCCCACAGAGACTTTCATCCTAATGGAGCAACTAGACTTTAATAATTGAGGACCTCACTCATCTGTGGTCAGTGTGCCTCATCTCTCGAGTGGATTCCCTGGGAGATTTGTTCACAATGTTATCTTCTTTTAGTGTTCTGAACCTAAGAAAAAAATTCTCTTTGCATGTGGATAAACCACAGATCCATGAAATCATACTTCGACCATCTCCTTGTTTTAACCATGCAAAAACACCTTTGTGGTTCCTTCCTCTACTGGCTTAACCCTTGGCTTTCTTCTGTTTTTCAACAAGTGGAGGCTCAGAAGCCCCCAAGCAGGTTTACCAAGGTGCCCATGGGCCACCACATGCCCAGCCTCACTGTGCCCTGCCCCACGGCTGCGCCTCCTCTGCTTCGCCCAGCACCTGGAACATCCCTCCTTCTGAACAGCGCCAAGTATGCGTCTGTGCTGCTGCCCCGCCCGCTGCCCCTAAGGGCTCCTATAAGGCATGTGCATCCCTCTGCCCTGGCGCTAGGCACTGCCTTGCATCAAACCCCATATTGTTTTCTCTCCCTCTAGAGAGTTAGCTTTCAGGGAGGACAGAAGGATGCAAAGGTAAAAATATTGTTGTTTGCTGTGAAGTTTACAAAAAACACAATTGTACCAAAACAGAGACAAAAAGGTGGGCTGGATTGTTTTCCAAGGATGCTTTCATTTTTAACGCCAGTGTTTCACTCTTAAATGCACTGCTAGTTTATCACAGTTCAACATACACTTTATAAAACTGGTTTTTTGTCATTGAACTTTTTTTGAAAAATGTATGATGACCACAGATGTCCTTTTGCTGGAGGCTCTCTCTAGGGTCTTACTTCATGTTTCTTTGTAGATAATGATAGTACAGTATGGTTATTTCTCATGGGTTGTGAGGAGACTAAATGATTAAATATATGTAAAGTGCCTGGGACAAAATTTGACACCTTCGTGCCCTAAATAAAAGCTTATTAAATAAATACATAGATTTGGAATTATTGGCTGGATTATATGTAATTATTCCTGACCCAGAATGTCTTAAGAAATATAGTCTCTGGACCTATCTTTAGCAATCACTGCCACTCACCACTCATCCCCTTTGCCCGCCTCATTTTAGTTACTAATGGGTGCAGCTGGGTTTGGGGATCAGCGAAGACAGTTGACATGGACTCGTACCAATACCTGGACTCTTTACACACCAAATCCTGGGGGCCAGGCACTGTTCTAGGTGCCAGACATTTAATTCACATCACAGACGTGCCATGTAAGTACAACTATTTTCCCTACTTTGCGACAAGGAAATTTAGACCCAGGCAGGTTAAATAACTTTCCCAAGTTATTCCCCTACCACCGCCCACCCCTAACCAACCCCAGCTCAAACCTAGGCTGTCAGGGTTTGTGTTATTAACTATGTGCTAGAATCCAAGAAACCCAGGGCTCCTGCTTGTGTCAACAGC
The DNA here is from genome assembly GCF_000001405.40 of Homo sapiens. Lineage (NCBI taxonomy): Eukaryota > Metazoa > Chordata > Mammalia > Primates > Hominidae > Homo > Homo sapiens. The sequence goes on along the minus strand of NC_000009.12, from coordinate 67,463,542 downwards.
CTGGGAGCACAGTGACATGAGCTCGGAACCAGGAATCATCATCAAGTCTGTGTTCCCTTTTCCCAGGCATCCGACACATGGTCAGTTGGGCCAGAGATGGGAGAGGAACTTCTAGAGTCACTTAGCAGAACGGAGGCTGGAGACAGGTTGGCCCTGACATCACAGGGGCTGTTCTCTCCTACTCGTGCCTCCCTCCTGGGAAAATTGTGGGGGACAGTCATGGTGACAGTACCTGGGACCTGAGTCAAGCATCCTATGTGGAGGTCTGAGTTTCCTTTGACAGAGTGTCCTGGCATCCTTCGTCTGTGATCACTGGGACACAGTCCCACTATTTTTTCCCATGGATACTGCTGCTGTGCAAACTCCATGTATAGGGTGTCACAAAGCTTACTCTGTTGTAAATACAGCTGGGTGATAGAGAATTTCATTAGTTTGTTTCTAAAGAAATACTAGAAAACAGATTGAATTAGAAAAAATTGGAAGTGGAAAGAGGATTTTTCTAGAGTTGACATTTTTACAGGAATCTAAGCATTGGTATCTAGGGGGGAGAAAGCCCAGAGTAATAATTTATTTAACTGTTGCAAATTGGAATGATGCTAATTAGATTTCATGTGTTGCTCATGATGTTTATTGCTGAAACATCCATTACCCTGCTGATTCTGGCAGTGAAATAAACATTAGAATTTTTCAACAGCTGTAGTGTAAAATTTTAGAAATTGGACTATGAGTAGCACAATTGGGGTTTACTGTTTTGGATTACCAAAGTGTTTAGCCTTTGCCGTTCAGGGTGATTGTGTGGAAGCGGACACTGCGTGGGTGGAAGTCAAGGCAGACGCTTCCCTGTGGCGCTGGAACAAGGCGGCTGCTCTGCAGGGGGCTGTGAGCATCCCTCCTCGTGAAGCCATGGGTGGCTATTAGGTAATGCAGCAGCTGTTGCAAATAAGAGCCAGGGTGTCCTGGTGACTGCCGCACCTTGCCCCTTGTAGGAAATGCTGCTGCCTCTGAGCAGGGCTCAGGGGCTGTGAGCAGTGATCGGCAGCAGCGGGGCTGTGCGGCCTGAGCTCCTGATTCCTCGGACCCACGTGCACACCTGGAGAACGGCGCACGCTTCACCTCCTGAGCACCAAGGCCCCTCCTTCGTGAGACTTACCCCATTCGTGTGAGCCCCGGGAAGAAGGAGGCATTTTCAGATGTTTTTAGAGAGAGGGCTCCTGGAGCGCTAATCAGAGCCGTCTATGTTTGAGGATGTTGTTACGGATGCACTCATTTTTCAGGATGAAAGTCCACGCTTTGCTCACACAGCAGTCCCTGATGGTTCTCCCTCTGTTCAGGGCCTTCATTACCATGTCTGGCACGACCTTGATGCAAATGAAACATTTCCAAGAACAAGGAGCTATAACAGAAACTCAGATGTTGCATTTATAATGATTCCCACTTCGGCTTTTTGACTTTAGAGTGCAAGGAAAAATGTGCAATTTCTTACTTGGGCAAAAACAAAACAAAATAAACAACTAATGCAAATCCATACCAGAGTCTGTTACTGTGAGGTAGAGGGCTCTTAAAGGAAACAATCTAACTCTAAAACTGGAACAAACCAGAGCAGCTGCCCTGAAGAATCAAGGTGGTTTCCACCCAAGCTCCACCTGACGCTTGTGAATGGAGAAGCCAACACCCCTGAGCACAGACCTGCTCTCAGGGAGGGATTTTACCTTCATCTGCACAAAGCACCCTGCCCCTGCATAGATCCATGGGGGCTCATTGGCACTAAATAGAAAAATAGATCCCTTCTGCCTCGTTCTGGTTCACACCCATGTAGCCACAGAGCTGGCAAGAAGAATAAAATAAAGTTTTAATCTATTCCATTCTCAATCTTACTGCATTTACATTTATTAATCAACTCCATTACTAAGTATACACTCCAACGTTTGCAAAATTCTGACTACATTATCTACTCTACAATGTCCAGAAGTTAGTTCATTAAAATCTGAATTTAAATTCTATGTCCATTTAGAAACTATTTGTATTGTATTCTTCTGTAATTGGTTAAGCTTCATGAGTATAAACGCAGGAATATGGATTTTTCAATGAACGTTAAATAATCTTGTTGATTAAATTAAAGTCAAAGTAATGTTTGCTTAGAAATTAAAGGATTATATTTCATTAGTATTTAATTTACTTAGTTTTAATTCCTGGCTTGTCATGAAGATGGCAAAAGCTGATGTGTTCCCTTGTTTCCTATACTATACTATGGAACATGGAATATGTGTGTGTGGGGGGGTGTTTGTGTGTGTGTGCACACAAACACAAGATACGTATACACATTTAAGTTTAAAAACAATTCCCTTGGATAAATACTAGGTACTCAAAGAAAACTCATTTAAAGTTTAGGCAAATCTAAGTGTACTGGATTTTTATTGCGCTTTGCTGAGTATAGTCTAGCTGTTGACTGTATACTGTTTTGTTGTGTCTGCAACAGTTTCATTTGCATGCACTTCAGTAGTTAGTTTCCTAGACAAGTAATCTCCAGATAAGTGCATCACGACCCCTCTCTCCAAAAACATCTGAAAATGCCTCATTCTTCACAGAGCCTACTAATTGTCACTTTAAATTGGAGAAGGGGGCTGAACATTGATTACACTATGGTGAGAAGGGTCAGGTCTGCCAAATGTGGGTCTCAAGGAAGTAACCTGCACATTTTCAAAAACAGCCTTCAGGAATGGCAGGCTTTGCGTGCTGGTGCACTGAATACATGGCTGGGTCCCTAAGCTGAAAGTGCCGAGGCTGCCTGGGTGGAACGCTCAGCTCTGCCACTTCTGAGTTCAGAAAATTAGGCAAATTATTTCATCTCACTTGGCTTCAGTTTTGTCATTTTAAAATTCTGAATAATGACAGCAGAACCCAATTTCTAGATTTAAAAGGCATAATTTATATAAGGTGCTATGAAATGAGTCAGCCCATAATCAGAGTTGGCTAGTTCTAACACTTACTACAATTATTACATCAACTCTCTTTCTGTGTGGTCCTGAGAGGTCACTTGTCCTGGGAGTGTGAGTTTCTTCATCTGTAGAACAGGGAGGTTGATTAGCCAATCTTAGGATTTTATGATCCTCTTCCTGTTAGACAATTGTCTGGAAATAGGGTCCTGTCCCTCCTCCTCCACACTCTCCCATGCTGTGTGCAGGCAGATGTGACCCCTAGCTGCATGAGGGCAGGCCTGGCCCCATGGCAGCATTATCCGCTTTGCCGGGGAAAGGAGGACATCACAGATGATCCCAAGCTGTGTCCTGAAGAAACACAAAACTAAAGATTTTGCATGTGCATCTAGGAGGAAGTTTCACACTGGAATCAATTCCTTGTTCCTGAGATTCCCTTCCTCATGCATCTTTTTCTGTGGGGGTAGATGATATGGTTTGGCTTCGTCCCACCCAAATCTTATTTTGAATTCCCACATGTTGCGGGAGGCACACAGTGGGAGGTAATTGAATCATGGGGGCAGGTCTTTCCCATGCTGTTCTTGTGATTGTGAAAAAGTTTCATGAGATCTGATGACTTTATAAGGAGGATTTTCCCTCCATAAACTCTCTCTCTCTCTGCCTGCTGCCATCCATGTAAGACATGACTTGCTCCTCCTTGACTTCCACCCTGATTGTAAGGCCTCCTCAGCCACTTGTAACTATAAGTCCATTAAACCTCTTTCTTTTGTAAATTGCCCAGTCTCAGGTATGTCTTTATTAGCAGTGTGAAAATGGACTAATACAGTAGAGAATTAGTGAGAAACTCAACTGAGAAAAAAAAACCTACAGAGAAGCAGAATCCAGAGTTATTCACACAAGGCCCAGGACATGGGGCATGTGTGGCATTCTCCTGGCTGCTCTTGCTCATAGGTAGAGGTGGATGGAAACTCCACGCACATCACCCACCCCATCTCCTGCCACCTGTCCCTAAAGCCTCCCTTGCCCTCTCCCTCCCCGCCCCTCCCCATATGCAGTGCTTTCCCAGGCTCTCCGGCAGCCCTGCTCACTTCCTCAGTGGCTGGTCTGCCAGTCATCAGCTGAGAGCAGACCCTCCATTCACCTGGTTTCCTGTACTATGCTGTACCATGGAACATGCAATATATGTGTGTGTGTGTGTTTGTGTGTGTGTATGCACAAATATCAGATACCCCACACAGTTCAATTTAAAGAAGATTATTTCTTTTGATAAATACTACACATTAAAAGAAAACTCATATAAAGGGTATTCAAATTTAGGTTCACTAGATTAATTGTTATTTACCAGGTTAATTAGCTATTATAGCCTGGAACCACACAAAGGGGTCAGCATCCTGCTCCCCAACCTTCCAAGCAGGTGTGAAGGGATCCGTGGGGAGATTCCTGCCAGGTTTCCTAACTGGTGAGGTGGGGGTGGGGCGAGGGGCAGAGAACGGCTTCCCAACAGACAGCCAGGCACCTGGGGGACCGCCAGGTGGGAGTCTGTGCTCACAAAGAAGACATTCCAGGTTGGCCTCAGCAACACTCATAGCTCCCTCCCCGCAGCCTGCACACCCTCGCTCAGGACACCTGGATGTTGTAGGATTCTCTCACCAGCCACCAGCCAGGGCCTTTGTAGCTGCTTCGGGTGCTCCCGAAGCACCTACACGCTCCCACCCTGCTACAGACGCCTGCGGTTAGAAAGCCCTGGGCATCTGTTCAGCAGAGGGTCCTGCCAGGCTCCCCTCATTCAGAGGGGACAGAATTCTCCTCCTGACAGACTTTCTTTTTTTTTCCTTTTTGGGAGGGAGTCTCCCTCTGTCTCCCAGGCTGGAGTGCAGTGGCGCGATCTCGGCTCACTGCAAGCTCCGCCTCCCGGGTTCAGGCCATTCTCCTGCCTCAGCCTCCTGAGTAGCTGGGACTACAGGTGCCCGCCACCACGCCCGGCTAATTTTTTGTAATTTTTAGTAGAGACGGGGTTTCACCATGTTAGCCAGGATGGTCTCGATCTCCTGATCTCGTGATCCGCTCGCCTCGGCCTCCCAAAGTGCTGGGATTACAGGGGTGAGCCACCGTGCCCAGCCGACAGATTTTGTTTCTATCATCATGTGGGGAGCGAACATGGATCTCTTCCTGCCTGAAGTGGGCACAACGATATTGACCCTTTGTGGGATTCCAGGCCTTTCAGCGACTCCTGAACCCAGAGGAAGGAAGCCAGGGAAAGGAATGCTATGGGGAGAGGGTGGAGAAGGCAGAGAGCAAAGGCAGGCTGTAGGGACAGGTGGTCAGGTGAAAGCCCAAACCATGCAGCGGTGAGTGGACGTTAGGGACTAGAAATAGTGCTCTCAGGGTTCACTGTGCCATGGGGAGGTGTGTATTTCACCATACCCTGTGCCCGAGAGGCTACAGAGCGGGTCCGTTCAGCTGTCCTTGTACCCACATGGGACCCCCACCACTGCAACACCAGAGGCCCGGGGCCTGCCCTCCTTGTTTGGAGGTTCTGATTTCCCCAGGATCTTGGTGAGTTTTCTTGGGCCACAGTTAATACCCTCAGAACTCTTGTCCTCACCTTCTCTCCAGCAGTTTCGTCGGACTGACAACGGTGAGTGCCTTAGGATGCAGCTCAGAACCCCTTCCCCGCGGGAGGATCTGAGCGCCTCCAGCCTTCGCTCACTGCCTCTATAGCCCTGAACTCCACTTTTATCTCCCCAGACCTAGGAAACTGTCAACAGTTTCTAAGCATTCTGCTCGGTCTCTCTGACCTTCAATACTGAACAAGCAGCAAATACGTGCAGGGAGAACGCTGACCCAATTCAACGCATTTCCCTTCTCCCTGGATTCTTGGCCCTTCCATTCCTGGCCTTTGTGATCACTCTCTGACACCGGCAAGTAGCTGCTTTTTGTTTTTTATCTGGCATTTATATTTATTTTTCGTGGTGGTGGTGAGGGGGCTTCTTGGTGCGATAAAGATGTTTCTGACCTCTGAAAACTGCACAAGAATGTGAAGAGCTGCGGGTCTAACTTCTCACCAAGCAGCTGCAGGACTCCTGTTATCTCTAATAGGGGACGTTTGACACTCACAGGAAGAATTAACTCATTCTTACAGACCGAGCCTGATTTTTTAAAAATCAGTTTTTAGGCCGGGCATGGTGGCTCACGCCTGTAATCCCAGCACTTTGGGAGGCCGAGGCGAGCGAATCACGAGGTCAGGAAATCGAGACCATCCTGGCTAACACGATGAAATCCCGTCTCTACTAAAAATACCAAAAAAATTAGCCAGGCGTGGTGGCGGGCGCCTGTAGTCCCAGCTACTTGGGAGGCTGAGGCAGGAGAATGGCGTGAACCCAGGAGGCGGAGCTTGCAGTGAGCTGAGATTGCACCACTGCACTCCAGCCTGGGCGACAGATCCAGACACCGTCTCAAAAAAATAAAATAAAATAAATAAATAAAAAATAATAATAGTAATAATAATAATAATAATAAATAAAAATCAGTTTTTAAAAAAATCAAAGTAAAATTTACCCAACATAAAATTAACCATTTTAACATGTACAGTTCAGTGGCATTTACTACATTCATGGTGCTGGGCAACCATTACCTCTATTTAGTTCCAAAACATGGTTATCAGCTTACAAGGAAACTCCATACACATAAAGCCATCCCTCCCTTTGCCTCTTCCTCAGCCTTGGGAAACCACTAGCCTGCCCCTTGTCTCTATGCATTTACCTATTCTGCATATTTCATGTAAAGGGGCCATACAGTACCTGGCTTTTTCATAAAACATCATGTTTCTGAGGTTCATCTACATTGTATCAGTACTTCATTCTTTTGTTTTTATTTATTATTATTATTATTATTATTATTATTATTATTATTATTATTATTTTGGAGACAGAGTCTTACTTTGTTGCCCAGGCTGGAGTGCAGTGGCGTGATCTCAGCTCACTGCAACTTCCACCTCCCAGGTTCAAGCGATCCTCCTGCCTCAGCCTCCCTAGTAGCTGGGAATACAGGTACACACCACTGCGCCCAGCTAATTTTTTTTTGTATTTTTGGTACAGACGATGTATGGCCATGTTGGCCTGGCTGGTCTGGAACGCCTGACCTTAGGTGGTCCAGCCACCTCGGCTTCCCGATGTGCTGGGAATACAGGTGTGAGCCACTGCACCTGGCCCAACACTTCATTCTTTTTAAATGACTGAAGAATATTTCATTTTGCCAATGTACCACACTTTGTTCACTTATTCATCAGTGGATAAGTTTGGGTTGTTTCCACCTTTTGGCTATTGTGAATAGTATAATCAGTATAACTTTTACATCCACATGTATAACGATTATATGTTAGGTGAATGTCAGTCTCTGATACAAACAACTGGAGCTTATTTTCATGCACAACCCATTCTTATTACAAAAGTTCTTGAGAGGGCTGAGCGCGGTGGCTCACGCCTGTAATCCCAGCACTTTGGGAGGCTGAGGCAGGCAGATCACTTGAGGTCAGGAGATCGAGACCAGTCTGGCCAACATGATAAAACCCCATTTCTACTAAAAATAGAAAAAATTAGCTAGGCATGGTGGTGGGTGCCTGTAATCCAAACTACTCCAGAGATGGAGGCAGGATAATTGCTTGAACCTAGGAAGCAGCGGTTGCAGTGAGCCAAGATCGTGCCACTGCTCTCCAGCCTGGGTGACAGAGTGAGACTTTGTCTCAAAAAAATAAACAAAACAAACAAAAACAACAAAAAACTACAAAGTTCTGGATGGTGTATCCACATCGCTCAGGGAGGGACAGGACTTTGTCTTCTCTCTGATGCACTCTGGGCCCCAAAAGCAGCAGAGAGGGTGACGCTGGGTCTGAGGCCCAGGTCCAGATCCCACCCTCCCTGCAGCTCATGAAAACAGGGAGTCAGCCATCACACCCTCCAGCCCTGTGTGTGCCTCGTTCCTATGGACATCCTAGAAGCTCAGCCCTGTGACATTGAAGAAAGTCCTCAGACTGCACAGTGGGTTGGTGCTCAGCACCCTTTATTTATCACTGGAGATAGGCAATTACATTTCTGCTTGTGGGAAAAAACGAATGACAGCAGGACTGGGGGCCTACAAATGCTTGAGGAAGTAAACCCTCTCTGTCCACAAAGGCTTCACTGTACTTTTCTAGCCTTTCTATTCAATTCTTCACCTTAGGAATTTGAAAATGTAATAGTCTATCTCATGGTAATTTCTGAAACAGTTGTCTTCATCTTTTAGAGATAAATATGCAGGATCATGATCAAAACATCTCCTGAGGCCTCCTTGGTGCCATGCATTATACTGATGACATGGAATAATCCATTTAATCCTCACCACAGCCCTGTGCGGGAGGTCCTGTTTTGATTCTGATTTACAGGTGAGAACACTGAGGCACTGAAAGACAGACACAGAGGGAGCCAGGCTAGTACGCAGCAGAGCTGGACTTAAACGCAGACTGCCTGGCTCCTGGTTCCCTGCTTGCAACTGTTAGCAGCCATCTGCTCATGTGGCTATCAAAAATGAGTTCTCAAACAATATTTGGCATCCAATTTCCAATCCCCATTTTATAATTTTGCATGAAAAAAATTTATGTTACTATGATGAATTACTGAGATGAAGTTCTGATGCACTTTGTTCATGTTTAATTGCTTTGGAAACTGACTTTTTAAGCACCTGGAAGGAATCAGTGTCAAGTTAGTTTTGAAATGAACAGATACTGCCTCTTCTGATGAATCAGGAATAATCACCAGGTAGGAGTGTAATCTCACTGCAACTTGTTTGAGTGGTTCACGGACTTTACATCCTAATTTGGATCCTAATTTGCATCCTACCTTTAAAGTTCTGGAATGTCAATGGACAGCTGCATGAATAATTTTGTTTACAAATTAAGATGCAAATATTGGAAGAGAGAATAAAGCTATTCTGGAGTATATGTCAGGAGTGGGCACTGTTTTCTCAACTGTAAATTTTCACCACTTTCTTTTTAATTTGCTGTTCGATTTGTTTTACAGTTTTCTTGTCTTTCTTCATAGACTTGATGGGTTAAAATAATAAAATAATAAAAAACATTAGCATCTGAGAAACTAGAATTTTAATTGTGTGATTCTTTAGGATGGTGTCTCAAACAGCTTTTCTTACAGTTTTAAGTTTGGTCTACATAATAGAAGCATTTTAAAACATCAAGCAAGTCATAGTTGTTTTGGCTTACTGCTTATTCAATTAAAAAGAAATAGAAAGACTAACAGTGCTTATTGGTTTCCAAACCACCAACCCCCATTTAAAAAAATATCAATCTTCATATTTCCCTGAGTCAATTTTTTCTTTTAACCATTAGTATGAGCTAATCCTTATTCAGCATAAAACTAGGCATTATGTTAAGAACTTGCATTTCATAGTCACCACAAAATGGCCTAAAATTAGTATTTATTCCATTTTGTAAATGAGCAACCTGAGGTGTAAAAAGATGCAATAACCTGCCCAAGGTCCTTCAGCTAGCGCATTTTAGACCTGGGATTTTACACTGGGTTGCCAGAACTAGAGGCCTAGCGACCTTCCAAGCCCATCTCCTTACCTCCCGGGCCTCAGTTTGGCTATTCCTTGTCTTTAGAACAAATAAGAGCATTCTATAACTAAATAATTAGCAAAACAAGTCTTTTTCTTGGAAAATGCCTTTTAACCTACTATTAATCCACTTGTTAAATTTTTACTACATTCAAGGCAAAGAAGTGTAAAATATAATCCCTGCCCTCAAGGAGCTTACAGGGATTGCAATGAGAAGTTGTAACATAATGGGAAAACTATGTCAAATGGTAGTTCGAACACTGCAACACAGTTCTGATGCTTACCACCTGGAGTTAGCTACAGGTGCCACAGATTTAAGGGACTGACCTTCCTTCAGACACCAGCCATACTTCTGGTGTCCCCAGTCCTCTTGCACTGCTGAACAACTGGCTAGAAATGTGGGCATCACCATGACCCTTTCGAGTTTGATAATTTGCTAGAACAACTCAAAGGACTCAGGAAATACTTATGCTTAGTTTTATTATAAGTAATAAAAATTGGGACCTGCCAAGGAAGAAACACATTTGGCAAAGTCTGGGAGGGTCCACACACAGAGACTCCATACCCCTCCGTGCGGAATCTGAACCTGTCATCCTCTCAGGATATCCACATGTTTACCAGCCAGGAAGCTTCCCTGAGCTTCGGCGCCCCCAGTTGTTACTGAGACTGTGTCACAAAGGCAGGATTGACTTAATCATTGGCCACATATTTTAACTGAATCTCTAGCCCCACCCCTCAGAGATTGGAGGTCAAACTTAACATCTGGTGTCTCAAAGCCCGACTCTCCAATCACTTGGCTGCTCTTTTTGGCACAGCTTACCTTTTTCTTAAGCACAAATTCAGGTGTGATCCGAGGAGCTCATGAATAACAATGACACTCCTATTACTCAGGAATTCCCAAGAGTTTGAGAGTCTTCCAGGGGCCAGGGACAAAGGCCAGTCTAATTCTTCATTACACAACAGGTGACCCTGTGGCTTTTGACTATGGTTCTTTTATATGTCTAAAATGTGGAGGAGCTACTGTAGAGTACGAATAAAAAGCTTTTAACTCAATTTCCCAGTATATTTGACTGTCATTACCAGTATTATAATTTTACCGATTATGCCAGTGTTTGACCATATTTCAATATGGTAAAATAATCTGAAAAATAAGAGTAACAAATATTGACATATTACTAGAATCTCATTCAGTCATTAATAATTAGTCCAGCCCATCATCATATGGTGTAACCAAAATGTCTCCCAGGGTGACATCACTCACGTTCGCAGCTTCTGTTCAATTCTCTCAAGTTCCACAAGCAGGAGTGCTTTCAGCAATATATGGCTTCACTCTTTCCAGCATCTGGAATCGCTGAGCTAAGAGACAATATCATCTCTTGCCTTCAGCCCCTCTTAAAGTATTAATATAATATTGAATTTTCCTCATTGTGTAACCCAGACATTCATTGTTATAATCTACTAGTGTTTCTTCTTCTCACCAGTTATGAGTTTCTAAGCTTTTCCACATTTAGAAAGCACATTAGGTTCAGCCATTGTGCTGGTCTAGATTCCTGGCAGCAATACAAGTTTAGCGAGTGCCTTCCACTCAGTGGACTCCCATTCATATAGGATGAGGTACAGAACTAGGGGGCGTGTCAACCACTAAGCAATACATCTGCATTTCCTGTCAACCTCAGTCTTGCCAGATGGGGTAAAGACACAATCTACCCCATCTGGTCCTTAGGAAGCACAGTTACAGCTTTTACTTAGGAATTATCCCTCCTTCTGGTATTTTGCAGCCCTGGGCCCGAGACCACCATAGCAGGTAGGTAAAAGAAATTTGAGGTGATGTGGGGAAGAAAGAAAGCTGTAATCACAACTCCTTTGTAAGAAGAATTGTATACTCATCACAACATTTGCCCTACCTCTTCCTTAGGACCCTCAGAAAAGTGGAGGAATCTATCTAGTGGGACCACCCGCTTGGCGCCCTCATTTTGAATGTGAGCACACACTCAAGAAAACATATAAGGCAGCCCTTCATGCCTATTTTTATCCCCATTTTAGATGACCAAATTTTTTATTTTATTTTATTTTACTTTTTTTTGAGATGGAGTTTTGTTCTTGTTACCCAGGCTGGAGTGCAACGGCACGATCTTGGCTCACTGCAACATCTGCCTCCCAGGTTCAAGCGATTCTCCTGCCTCAGCCTCCGGAGTAGCTGGGATTACAAGCATGTGCCACCACACCTAGCTAATTTTTTTTTTTTTTTTTTGAGATAGAGTCTCACTCTGTTGCCCAGGCTGAAGTGCAGAGTGGCTCCATCTCGGCTCACTGCAAGCTCCACCTCCCGGGTTCATGCCATTCTCCTGCCTCAACGTCCGGAGTAGCTGGGACTTCAGGTGCCCGCCACCAAGCCTGGCTAATTTTTTTGTATTTTTGGTAGAGACGGGGTTTCACTGTGTTAGCCAGGATGGTTTCGATCTCTTGACCTCGTGATCCTCCCGCCTCTGCCTCCCAAAATGCTGGGATTACAGGCTTGAGCCACCGTGCCCAGCCCTAATTTTGTATTTTTCGTAGAGACGGGGTTTCTCCATGTTGGTCAGGCTGGTCTCGAACTCCCGACCTCAGGTGATCCGCCTGCTTTGGCCTCCCAAAGTACCAGGATTATAGGCATGAGCCACCGCACCCAGCCGATGACCAATGTTTTAATTGTCCATTTCAATTCTCTATCAAACCATTACTGTTAGGACAAAAGTGTTTCCTGAACTAAGAAAATATGACTTGTTCATTCAAATTGGTGCAGAATAATCTGTTCCGTTGTCTCTGATCATTTGCATCTGTTTCTTGGTAAGCAAAGCCAAGTCTCGAGCAAGTGTCTCGTTCCTGTCTATACCCCTTCGTCCACCCCCCAGGACTAATGTCATGCATTCGGCTTACAGGGCCTTCCTCCCAGCTTCTCTGCTCCATAGCCATCTATAGTCTGTGTCTCTCTTGTTAACAAAAAGAAGAATCTTTACGAGCATTTTGTGCCTCAGAAGGTACAAAGGAATAAATGTAATTCAGCCCATCTCTGGGCTGCTGCAGCCTCACAATATTCACTCATTACGTGAACCCAGTGGCCATCTCAAGCGAGCACACCAGGATATCCTCTTGCTGGCTCCAAGTACCTCCTAATCCTAGAAGGGGGGTTTCTGATAGGCATTGGCATGTCCCACTTCAATGCACCCCTCAAATTCCTGTAATCATTTCCACAAGGCAAGCCCTCCATAGGCCAGTTTTCCATTGCCCTCTGCATAACCCCCAGGTGGTCCCAAAGTCCATCCTAGGGGAAAAAGAGTCGCTCTGCCTGTGAACACGCTGGATAAATTTACATTGACCTGTGCTATGATCTGGATGTCCCTTGAAGTTCATATGTTGACATTTAATCCCCATTGTGGTGGTATTAAGAGGTGGGACCTTTTAGAAAGTGGCTAAGTCATGAGAGCTTTGTCCTCAAGAATGGACTAGCATCTTATAAAAGGGCTGGGTGTCTAGGCACAGTGGCTCACACCTGTAATCCCAGCACTTTAGGAGGCCGAGGCGGGCGGATCACAAGGTCAGGGGATGGAGACCAACCTGGCTAACACAGTGAAACCCTGCCTCTACAAAAATACAAAAAAATTAGCCAGGCATGGTGGCGGGTGCCTGTAGTCCCAGCTACTTGGGAGGCTGAGGCAGGAGAATGGTGTGAACCCAGGAGGCGGAGCTTGCAGTGAGCCAAAATCATGTCACTGCACTCCGGCCTGGGCAACAGAGTGAGACTCAAAAACAAAACAGAACAAAAAGGACTGGGGGGATCTAGCTGAGGCCTTTGGTCTTTCACCTTCTGCCATGTGTGGACACCTAGATGCCACCAACTATGAGGAATGGGTCCTCACCTGGCACAAACTCCACTAGCCTTGATCTTAGACTTCCTGGTCCACAGAACTGTGAAAAATCATTTCCACGAGGCAAAGCCGCAAAGGCCCATTCTGTTCTTTATAAATTACCCAGTCTCAGGTAGTTTGTTATAGCAGCAGAAAGGGACTAAAACACCCTGGTAGCATGTCCCCATAAACCAATTCCATTTGACTACGAAAATTTTCTGTTTATTGTCCTTCCTATTAAAGCCTTTCTTCACTATCACTCAAGCCATGATCATATTTTAGGTTTCAAGATTAATTTGTGTCCTTCAGTTATAGAGTCCATTTCAATTAAAGTCTGATCACAAGCTAGTAATTGCCACTCAAACGGCAAGGGGTTCAGCTATGGGACTCTGGCCCCTCCATAAACTTTATCTTGATTAATCTGCCTGACCATTGTCCAGGTGATTCCAGGCTGGGTTCCTCATTGGAATCTTTGTTTTCTGGCCTTTAAAATTACTCCAAACTGACACAAATAGACTTGTGTAGGGCCCTGTAATGGGGAAACCGGCCAAAGGGGGATCAGCAATGGTTCCTGTTGGTCCCTGCAACCTTCCATAGCACTGCATTCAGACCTTTGTTTCAACACCATTAACGTTTACTTTATTTATTCAATTTGTTGTCATCTAAAGTTTTCCACCCTGCTAAAATGAATCTCTTGATTCTCTTCTCTCTCCATTTTCTTGTTAATTATGTTTTGTTGTTGTTGTGTGTATCTCTAAGACACATAAGGGGAAGCAGAGATAGCAAATCCATAGGGCTCTTTGGACTGTTGCTTGATTTTGCAGCAATAAAGCTACACTGAGTGATTATACAAAGGGGGCCCCTTAACCATAGCATTAACCATGCCCTGCATAAGGGAAACAAACAGTGGATGAATATCCTGAGCATCATAAAGCCAATCCAGCATGGCTTGCACACAAAACATACCAGCCCCTTCACCTGGGATGTTCCAATGGGCATTTATAGGGGAAATAGGATAGTCCTCCTCATGGTAAACAACTTTATACTGTCTTTTATTTAGCCTCGTAGGCTAATTGTTCCCTAGGGAATAACCTGCTATGTGTCTGGATCATGTGTGGTGATCTATGATTGTTCCATAGTGAGCTGTGGATCTTGTATCAACCCAAACATGCTTTTCTATTCTGCAGTATTCAAAAACCAAAGAAACTTGACTCTGAATTAATTACTCCTACATTTATTTCAGTAAAGGTTCTTCCATAAACTGTTGATATAACTTCGTCATGCTGCACCCCTGGTTTCAGTAGTTTCTTGATTTTTCCTGTCTTACCTGGACTCTTTTTTCGATGACCAGATGTTTCAGAGCATATTGCAGCATATTTTTTCCCTTCGAGGATGGCTTTGAGACTAGTGGCCATATCTCAGACTGACCAAAATCTGAGGTTGGTGTCAGCACCCTTTTTTTCTCTCAGTTTAGCTATTATAACAAGAACCAAGGGATTATATATTTCACTTTTTCCTTTTTTTTTTTTTTTTTGCACTTCCCTGTACATCCAATAGATCAACTCTTTAGAAGCTGGTCTATCACTATTTCTGAATTCCATTGGCTGGGTCTATCACTGTTTCTCAATTCCATTGGCTGGGTCTATCACTATTTCCGAATTCCATGGGTGGCTTTTACCTTTAGAAACTGATCACAACGCAGATGCAATTTTATATCGGGGTGACCCTGTGGCCCCCCAGAAATCAAAGTTTCCTCATTGTTGGCCTTTTAATTTAATTCTTCCTCTTTCCAAACCCATTGTTTCAGGGTTGTTCTAGTGAGTCTCACATTTTCTGGCACAAATGGTAAGGAGAAGTAAACATTTCTCTATGGAGAAATCACTATGGGGGCATAAAAGCCAGCTTCCTGGAGAAGTAGCATTTAACCCGAGATTTGCAGCATTCCATCTACATAAATGTGAGGAAAGGTCCCTTTAGGTATGAGCTAAAGGGTCAGGACTCGCAGATAAGAAGCATATGTGAAGGTCCATACAGAGGGATATTTGGCTGTGGGTAGCAGCAGGCAGTAGATGTGACTGGGAGGATGTCAGGGGAAGGGGAGCACGTGGAAGATGACATTGGATAACATTGAAAAGAAATACATTTTAAAATTTACTCAAGGGAACATGGTATTAAATCAAGTTTCATCTAAAGCTGCCTCCTTACATATTTAAGTTTGGCCTAAAGGTTTTTCTGTACATTGTGAACTGTAACAAGTGAAGTGTAAGCAGAATGTAGCCTACCCTAGTGCCAATCAACGAGTTTTGGCCAATCAAATGTAGCCAACTGTTCGAGCCATGTTCAAATAAGGTAAATGCCAAGCTGTAACCAATCCGGCTGTTTCTGTGCCTCACTTCCATTTTCTGTACTTCACTTTCCTTTTTCTGTCCATAAATCTTCTTCCAACATGTGGCTGAGCTGGAGTCTGGGAGCCTAGTCTGGCTGGGAAGGCTGCCTAATTTTGAGAATCATTCAATGCTCAATTAAACTCCTTCAAATTTAATTTGGCTGAAGTTTTTCTTTTACTAGTGGGGAGCCATTGAATAATTTTATCTGGGGGAAAGGCATGATAGGAAAATCTCTTTCAAAATAAAATGAGTGCTAGCTCGCTGCTAACCACATGTTTACTGAGGTTCATCACTCTGCACACCTGCTCCTCTGGGTTTCCTCACTACTTTCAGAATTCCAGCCCTTACCCGACATGCTGGGGCCACCAACTTACTCGTTTGCCTGTTCTCTTCGACACTGAGGTCATCAAATACTATGTAAGATTCAAGCTTTGTAACCTCAATGCTTCTACCCATTTTGATACTAGATATATATTTATCACATGATTATATTAAATATAGACCAAGACCCTAAAACATTCCTAACCCTAAGATACTCCATGTTTGGGTAAATAGCATCCAAAAATACCACTAGCTGTCCTAAGGTATAGCAGGAGAAAAATACAATGCATCAAAGGGAAAAGCTGTACTGAAGGAGAGAAATAGGAAAGAGGGAAATTAGAAAAATAAAAGATGAAGAGAGACTTTTGCTTAATGTGGATGGGTTACGTCATTGTGGAGGCTAAGGGGTAACAGATATTGTATGGTGGTGTACATGCCATAGGTTGTGCACACATAACCACCCATCGTATTTAGACATAGCATCCACCTGGGAGTCTCACCATACGATAGGCTCAGAGTCTGATCCATATTGCAGGAGAGTCGGAACAGCACACAGCAAGACATGAGGAGGAAGACCCATGACCATTTAGTCACCCGTCATTCTTCAAATGGATACAGTACTTCTAAAACACTAATACTCTTTTTATGGTATATCCATGATTGTAAATTAAGGCCAATAATGGCCGGGCGCGGTGGCTCATACCTGTAATCCCAGCACTTTGGGAGGCCAAGGCGGGTGGATCACAAGGTCAGGAGATCAAGACCATCCTGGCTAACACAGTGAAACCCTGTCTCTACTAAAAATACAAAAACAAAATTAGCCGGGCGTGCTGGCGGGTGCCTGTAGTCCCAGCTCCTCACGAGGCTGAGGCGGGAGAATGGCATGAACCCAGGAGACGGAGCTTGCAGGGAGCTGAGATCGTGCCACTGCACTCCAGCCTGGGCGACAGAGCGAGACTATCTCTCAAATAATAATAATAATAATTCTTAGCTTATCCCAAATAAATCCTGATTTAACTTAATTGTATCTTTCTTGAAATTCTATTAAGAGTAATAAGACATTCAATGATGTATTAAACGATAATAACAGTTGACATTTATAAAGTGTTAACCACAAATATTGATTCATTTATACAGAAAATGATTATTGAGTGCCTAAAGTCACTGGGCTGTGCCCTGAGTAAATAAGAATGAGACAGTGCTGCCTCATGTTCTATTCTTTCCTCTGCCAATTTTATACTCCTTTGTTCTAATGTGCACGGGCAACCCGAAAGTCAGCTAATTCTACAAAAATTTAAAAGAAACAAACTAACTTGAGGTTCTAAATAACTTATTCAAGTCCTGGCAGTCGGGATTTGATCATATAACTCTTGTCTCTATTTCTCAGACTGCAAAAACTAATAGGTTGTGGCAAATAATGTATATAAGTTTTGTTAATGAATGGAAAACATTAGGAAGTTAAATATCTGGATACACACATTTTCTAGGCCAACGTTTCTCCTGCTAAATAATCCTACCTTCAGTCACGGTTGATTTTAAACTGCAGCCAAAAGAACCAAGGGTGATTGTGGCTGTCATTACTGAATAAATGTCATGGGGTTAGCAGGGAGAGAGAGAGAGAGAGAAAGAGACAGAGACAGAGAGAGGGAGATTACAGAATGGGGTACTAATAGTTTGTAACAGTTTTTAAACAATCCTGTTGTAGATTAATGATAGGGTATCAGACAGTAGAGGTAAACTTTGTAGCATATTGCATTTCTGATCAATGCCTACAGATTGATTTTTTTACAAAACTCCTCTGTTACACATGTAAGCGTCACAAGGAGCCTGAGTTTCTTTTGTTACAGATTTAAACAATATTCTAGCATAACCCTGAGAAAGTAAATAATATTTGTGATAATTAATGGATTTTCTAGAAAACTAAATGGTGATGGTGAACTGCCAGGATCCCAAGGAAAAGGAATAGCTCTAGCAAAAAGGATCTGTAGAAAAGAGGAAAGCCTGGTACGCCTTCTGTCCCCATCTTATCCATAGGCTGACCAAGATAACACCTTGAATGTCACATTTACAAGCAAGTATTTTCTGGCCCGATAGCATCAAACATAAAGTCAATCCATCATTTGTCCTAAAGGAACAGCAACATTTGTTTACACTGGAGGAGTCACAAGTCTGAGGAGATTTTTCGATCAGAAATAACCTATCCTTAGACTGAGGTTGGTGAAGGAAGGCAGAAGTCTACGCTGTGTTTTTCTGATTGAACTTTGCACACAGAAGAGTCTTTTGAAATAAGCACTTCGATGTCAACAGCAGTTAATTCAGCAGGCACATGCTGTGGATTAGGGAGAACTAAGATAGGTGATTCTAACTGCTGCAACAGATGTTCTGGGAATATCAGAACCATTGGACTTCAGTGTCAAAGTGAAGCCAGGGACCATGGGAGAATCCTGGTGCCCCCAAAATCACAGAACGTCTTTTGATTCACTTCACTCTGGCCTTTCAGGGTGTTTCTCTACTCTATCGTGCCCCGATTAAGCCACATATTGGTTGAGTCACCTACCCTCCAATCCCCAAATGTAGCTGCCCAAATCAGATACCGTCACAGGTCATGGATGATAAGCATTTTAATGCATGCATCAGTGTGTGTCCTGTTTCTGTTACACTGAAGTACTTAAACAACAGTCATTGTGTTCTCTGCTGATGTGGATAGACTCTTACCTGGTCATAAATGTGTCCTTTATAATTGCTGTTACCTGAGGGCTTTCCATGAAGGCAACTTCAGCAATTAAAGTTACTTAGGTAGCAATCTCGGTTAAAGTGTGATGAACATTTAATTTAGAACAGTGTAGCTTCTTGGTTAGTTTGTGTTGATCTCCAACCTGGTATGTCAACTTGTTTCTCAGTGAGATGGAGAGGTTGAGAGTGCTGCCAAGAGGATGTTAACTATTTTATATGGTATCGTTCTACAAGGTTTGCAGCTACGTACTGAGGTAAAACAGCGTGAACACAGACAATTAAATAAAAGCATAAGAAAATGAAAATATATTTCCAAGATAGGAGGGCAAGTTGAGTGGGAACAATATGCAGCCACTGCCTGAAGGTGTTTGAAGAATGGGAATGGCGAGTCCTGGAAGATTTCCTGGGCCAACAACCTGAAGATTGCACCGCTGCGCAGAGCGCTCCTGGCCTCTGAAGCAGATGTTCTGGAGGCTGCTCTAGTAGTGGACAGACAGGTAAGGATGGTTTAAGCCAGCTTCCTGGAAAGTTCCAGGTCCAGCTTCTAAACGCTCTTCCCAAATTGATAATTCAAAGAGAGTCTGTAGAAACATTTAGGATTTAGGGAAACTACCGTCTGCGTTTATTTTTCTTCCCACAAACTTTTAATAAGCAGCAACTATATTGGCCTGTTCCTGGTGGGGAAATAGGAAGGAAGGGGGAAAATGATGTCATAAGACACTGGCTGTGTGTCTCAGTTCCCTTGTGATTATTTTTGAGATGGAAACGACTGACTCAAGGGCAGAGGACAGGAGGCCCTCAAGCACTACAGTTTGCTGATTGGAAGTGATCAGCATTACAAACCCGGTGCAAGGGCAACGGTGGGTCAGAGATGTGGGCTGAAGAGTCCTGGAAACAGAGGTCCTGGGCAGGGAAATCCGATATGGGGCTTTGAGTAACCTCATGGGCATCTATGAAGAGACAGACAAAAATTAGTCTGTCCAGAGGAAGCGATGACTGATGGCATTTCTACCTGCACACAGTCTGGAAAAGAGTCGGCCCCACCCTGAGTCTTCCCACTCATCTCCTCTCACACATCAATCACCCTGTGTCCTAACCACGACACCTGCTAAATCTTTAACTTAAGGGGGAAAAGATTTGTTTTTAACTTAAGGAAGGAAAGTATTGTTTAAAATATGAGATGAAAGGAGGAATGACTATTCACTCTTCCTCTCCTAAAGACTTAGCCATTTTAGGCTGGGCACGGTGGCTCATGCCTGTAATCCTAGCACTTTGAGAGGCCGAGGCAGGCGGATCATAAGGTCAGGAGATCGAGACCATCCTGGCTAACACAGTGAAACCCCGTCTCTACTAAAAATACAAAAACAAAATTAGCCAGGCATGGTGGTAGGTGCCTGTAGTCCCAGCTACTTGGGAGGCTGAGGTGGGAGAATGGTGGGAACTTGGGAGGCAGAGGTTGAAGTGAGCTGAGATCACGCCATTGCACTCCAGCCTGGGTGAAAGAGCGAGACTCTGTCTCAAAAAAAAAAAAAAAAAAAAAAAAAAAGATACACAATTTAGGTTAGAGAGGAGGAATAAGTTCAAGAGATCTCTTGTACAACATGGTGACTATATTATAGTTAATATAAAAAATTATACTGATGAAAATTGCCAAGACAGTAGATTTTAAGTCTTCTCACCACAGAAAAGTATGTGATGTAATGCATATGTCAATTAGCTCAATTTAGCCATTTCAAAATGTATACATATTCCAATACCACATGTCTTACATGATAAATGTATGCAATTTTTATTTGGCAATAAATAAGCAGAAATATTCAAAAATGAATGAACTATTTTGTATTACGAAAGGTCTGTATCCAAACAATCTATAGTTGGTTATTTGAAAAAACAAACAAAACTCTCCTAAAATATCAGAATTTCATTGCTTTTAAGATAGAGATTGGATATTTTATCAAATATTTTATGATTATATTTTACTCACTCATGGCCTGATTCCTCAGAACATACAGTCAGCTAAATTGCCAATGACTTAAACATTTGAAGTTAGGTTTGTTTTTGGTTGTTGTTGTTCATGCTGCAGGGCATAAATTCCTGTGTAATGTGTGCTCACGTATTCAGCTTTGCTTTCAGATTAAATGGAGCACTTCCTAATGGGTCAGTAGCCTGTGAATCCACTGCTTATGACAGTCATCACACTGTAGCTCCGTGTGAGGGCAGCCAAGTGTAAAACTAAGATTCTCCACTAATATCTGTCTAGGGGAGATGTGAGACAATGGCTTTTAAACTTCAGAGTATGTCGGAATTAACAGGAGGACTTACTAAAATACAGATTGCTGGGCCCCAGTTCTAGAGTTCCTAATTCAGTAGGTCTCAGGGGAGCCTGAGAATTTACATTTATAACAAATTCCCGTGTGGTGCTATCACTACTCATTCAGGAACCCCACGTTAAAAACCAGTAGAGAAAAGTGTGGTGCTGCATTTGTTGCTGCCGTATGTAAAACCTGTGAGGTAGCAAGTGAGGTGGTCATCACCACACATAATGAAAACAGTTTCATAAAACTCACTAATGAATGGGTCCAGTTCTGTTACCCCTTAGGTCTAACTTTTATGGAAGAAACACAGACCTTGCCTTCTGATGAATTGGCTGACTGCTGAACTAACTCACTGAGTCTTTCATTTACTTGGAAAATCATGATTGAACTTCATTGATCAGATGGGCATTCTACTTAACACAGGGTGGACAAAAGTTTGGAAAAATAAACAAGTGTTTAATATATTTCACATATTAAGTTGCAATAACACTCATTGTTGATGAGCTAAGGGACACCTCCTGGAGTGCTTCCCGCAGAAGATATACCACCCGTTCCTTCAAGGGAGGGAGGAACCAGATGGTTGGTAATTTCCAAAACTGAGATGGACAATGTAGCCCTGAGGAGTGGGCTGCATGCTCCTCAGCTCAGAACCCTCGTGATTACTTTCTCTGGAATATGCAAAAAGTGCGGGTTTATTCAATGAAAATCAGAGGCACCAATCATCTGAGGCAATGTCTCAATGGGGAACATCTGAGGGGTTGATGAAGGTGTGTCTTAAGGCACCATGGTGACTGTAGTTTTGCACAGTATCTTGGACTTTTTGTTGCTATTGCAGATCAACACCATTACGTATCTCATGCCATGTAATATCACGAACTGGAATGGTGTATCAATAAATCACCTATTATGGATATTCCGTAATATTTTCAGGTTTTGGGCCACCCCGCAGAAGAGGATTCAATGAGCTCATGCTATCTTCCCTCTCAAAGGAGGTGGGCAGTAACACAGAGCATTTGAATTTAACGCTGAGCCTCTCATGAGAGGGGATACATGGGAAAAGAAGCTCTGTGAAAACTGGAGGTTACTGGGGCCAGATGAGGCTGTATTGCCATGATGGGGATGGATGATTAGAAACAGTGCAGAGAAAGGGCCCTGACTGATTGGTGTTTCTGATTCCAAAAACATAAAACAAACATGGCAGGTTTTCATGTATTTGCTATTGTAAATAGTGCTGTGATGAACGAACCAGTGCAGGTGTCTTTTTTATAAAACAATTTCTTTTTCTTTGGGTAGACATCCAGTAGTGAGACTACTGAGTTCAATGGTGGTTCTATTTTTAGTTATTTTTATTTTTTATTTATTTTTTTTTTGAGACAGAGTCTCCCTCTGTCACCCAGGCTGGAGTGCAGTGGCGCGATCTCGGCTCACTGCAAGCTCCGCCTCCCGGGTTCATGCCATTCTCCCACCTCAGCCTCCCGAGTAGCTGGGACTACAGGAGCCCGCCGCCATGCCTGGCTAATTTTGTTTTTATGTTTTTAGTAGAGATGGGGTTTCACTGTGTTAGTCAGTATGGTCTCGGTCTCCTGACCTCGTGATCCGCCCGCCTTGGCCTCCCAAAGTGCTGGGATTACAGGCATGAGCCACCGCACCCAGCCCAGGATGATATTTTCTAAAGTTTCTTCTAGGATTTTTATAGTTTGAGGTCTTACATTTAAATCTTTAAACCATCTTGAGTTAATTTTTGTATATGGTAAAATGTAGGGGTCCAGTTTCATTCTTCTGCATATGGCTAACCAGTTATCCCAGCACTATTTATTGAATAGGGAGTCTTTTCCTCATTGCTTATTTTCATCAACTTTGTCAAAGATCAGATGGTGGTAGGTATGTGGATTTATTTCTAGGTTCTCTCTTCGGTTCCATTGGTCTATGTATCTGTTTTTGTACCAGTACCATGCTGTTTTGGTTTAAACTAGGTGCCCATAAACAGTGGATTGAATTAAGAAAATGTGGTACATATACACCATGGAATATTATGCAACCATAAAAAAGAACAAAATCGGCCTGGTGTGGTGGCTCACACCTGTAGTCCCAGCACTTTGGGAGCCCAAGGCGGGTGGATCACAAGGTCAGGAGATCGAGACCATCCTGGCTAACACGGTGAAACCTCGTCTCTACTAAAAAATACAAAAAAATTAGCCCGGGCATGGTGGTGGGTGCCTGTAGTCCCAGCTACTCAGGAGGCTGAGGCAGGAGAATGGCATGAACCTGGGAGGCAGAGCTTGCAGTGAGCTGAGATCACACCACTGTACTCCATCCTGGGCGACAGAGCAAGACTCCGTCCAAAAAAAAAAAAAAAAAAAAAAAATCATGTCTTTTGCAGCTGCCTGAATGCAGCTGGAGGCCATTACCCTAAGTGAATTAACAAAGCAACAGAAAACTAAATACCACGTTCTCACATATAAATGGGAGCAAACCATTGGGTGCACATGAGCATAAAGATGGGAACAAAAGACACTGGGACTCCTAGAAGGGGGAGAGAAGGAGGGAGGGTAAAGGTTGAAAAGCTACCTATTGGGTACTATGCTCACTACCTGAGTAATAAGATCATTTGTACACAAACCTCAGAGTCCCACAATATACCCATGTAACAAATCTGCACATGTATCCCCTGAATCTAAAAGTTGAATTTTTTTTCTTACAGTAAGCTTTTATTCATTTATGTTGCATAACCAGCAATATTGGGAGATATTCAATTTTTTTATTAAGGTGCTAGGCTGTGCCTTAAAGGATTCAAATATTTTAATAAAATGTAGTTTCAAACTATTTTAAATCAAAATACTCTAATGTTATTTCTAATATGAATGCCATTTTTTTCTGAGTGTGAAAAATTCCAGAAACAGTTATTTATTTTAATACGAAGCTAGTACAAAATAAAGTTTAAGTGAAATTAATTGGAGAAAAAGCCAACTTAACTAGGTATAAACTCTATACTTTGCCTCTCTTTATAGAAATAAAATCATGTGCCTTCAAGTGTATAAGACAGCAGGAACTAATTTCCAAAGGACCAACACTTGGAAAAGCAGTGACAGCATTAGGAGGAATAACTGTTGAGAGCTGCACTCTTGGGACAGCTGGACTATGCTGCTGGGCAGAGTTCAGGCAGAGCAGGGCTGCTCTCTCTCCTGTCTGGAGAGTGCTCTGAGTGTAGCCCTAGGCCTGCACCTGGCAAGTTCATGGTTCAGACAAACTCTGGCCTCCCCAGCACAGACAGGCAGCATGGTTCTTCTCACAGTCCAGGGAAATGCTCCTGGACACGTCTCAAAATGAAAGATCTTCTCATCTTGTCCCCCAGTGGTTCAAACTTCTGCTGAGTGTGGGCTGAATATCTTTGTGATACATTTATAAACAAATAGATGCTTTGCAACTGTTTCATCCCTCTTCTTCAAAATAAAGTGAATAAAATATTTCATGGAGTTTAGTGAGAAAAATAAATCAGATTATTCATATAAAATATTGATTACAGTGCTTCTTGGTACACTGTCCACTGTCTGGGCACACGGGCAATAAATTATAGCTGCTATATTTAAATATATTATTTGAATATTGTCAGACATAAATGAGTATTCAAAACCTCTACTATAATATCTATAAGATATTAAATGCCTACTAGGAAGTATTAATTATTTTTCTATATACAATGTACCAGGAATTCTCAACATGGTTCCCATTCAAATTGGATTGAGGACATTATCCCACATTTTCCCAGTAGAGACTATCTCAAGTGTTGAACATGAGTGCTAGCTTTGCCCTGTCCTGTGAGTGCATCACCACACTGACACTCTTGAAGTCCTCTAACTTGATAGTTTCCACGTGAAATCTTAATCCAGTTTCATGAGCAGGGTTGGTTCTACTGAAAATTAATGAGGAAGCAGATGAAATTTATTTTTACTTCCCACCCCAATCCCCAAAGCTTATTAATCTCCTTACATCCTGGCCCCTTGCTCTTCCATTTGTTCTGAGCTCTTGATGTCTGTTTCTCTATGTTTTTTATCCTATCGATTCAATAATTGTTGTTAGAGTGTCTCCTCTGTATTACCCAGGGACATCCCGTTAAACACTGCTATTACAAAGTAGATAAGATGCTGTCCATTCCCCCAGTTAATGCTTCTCTTAAATAATTATCATAAATATCATGGGCAATGGCATAAGCAGATTTTTCTGGTCTACTCCACGGCAGCAGTAATAGAATGTTATCTCAGTGTGTTCAGTGTTGTTAACAATGTCCTGTTTTGTATTTTACTATAAGATTTTCTTCGGATAAACTTGTTTTGTGAAATATGTTCAAAATGTATTAAGAGTCTGCCTTTTAAGCAAATTCTCTGAAAAGCTTCTCCTAGGTATGTACTAAATAAATACATTTTCCAGTATGATGCATTCTGCCATTTGGTACATTTTAAGAACTCTTTTCTACTTATTTAATATAATTAAGGTCAAGCTCATTGTACTTTCTTTTTACATGTTGTGCATAAATGTATGAACAATTAGTTCATTATATACATTGACTACAATTTTCTGTCTTGTTTTGTTTTTCTTTTCTCAGAGCTAAACTCCTGGAATAGGAGTTGGGAGACTGGAAGTCTGGTAGTGGCTCTACTGAGTTGACAGACCTGGAGTGAGCACGTGCCAGCACTTTGGTCTCCATATATACCACGCAAGAGTTCAAATAAAATAATGCACACACTTTCCTCCAGCTCTAACATTTAGGACTTGATCATATTTCAAATTCAAAACTCTTCTTAATTTTAATAGGAATCCCTCTCTAAGACAGCCTTTAAAAGGCAGTAAGCCAAATGTGCGATTGAATTATCAGGTGTATACATGCTGTGGGTTAATTAGCTGAAATACGGCTGCGCTCTGTTTAGCAGGTGAAAAGAGTTTACACCTTAAAGTAGAATGGTTTTAAAAATTGAACATTAAAATGTTATTCTGTGTTAGTGTGGGTAATAAGATTAAAGAACACAGATTAGTTATCAACATAAAAGAATGGGCAGAAAAGTAAATAATGAAGGGAGCAAGACAAGAAGGCAGAATGCAGTGGAGATGAACGTAACTGATCTCATTCAAAACTCAAGGGATGTGTCAACAGTGAGCAGTGTGAGCCTGAGGGGTTTTAATCAATCATCTGGAACTGTGGGTCACTCCCGCATGGTACATCATGAAATTCAAAACAAAACAAAAAAATGGAGCAGAAGGAACATCACACACAACCACTGAATAAAGACGAAAAACATAAAGGAAGACACCCTAATGTCATCATGATGACTTCTTTGATAGAATTTTATCAAACATGTCTGCCAACTTTTGAAAAACCGCAACTGAAGAACAGGAGTGGGAAAGACACCCACTAACTTTCTTTTTTTTATTATTATACTTTAAGTTCTAGGGTACATGTGCACAACGTGCAGGTTAGTTACATATATATACATGCACCATGTTGGGGTGCTGCACCCAGTGACTCGTCATTTACATTAGGTATATCTCCTAATGCTATACCCCGCTCCCCCCACCCCACGACAGGCCCCGGTGTGTGATGTTCCCCTTCCTGTGTCCATGTGTTCTTATTGTTCAATTCCCACCTATGAGTGAGAACATGCCAACACCCACTAACTTTCTTCAGCTTTGAAACTCACAACGAACGCAGACGCACCACACAAGGCCACAGCGTCAGAGTCTATTGATGTTGGATGATGAAAGCACAGAAAACAGAACATGACTTTCATCAGGTTTGATCTTCTCATCTTCAGTGTTTTTAAGGCATAGAAGAGGACTAAAATGGGATGAATCCAAAGGTTAAAAAAGTGAAACTGCAGAGTGTTTCTGGCTAGCAAGAGTTAGGAAAAGCAAGCAAAAGTCTCTGAACCCTACATCTCCACCATCTCTTCTGAGCTCGGGATTCCCAGCCTGGATGCAGAGAAAACCCTAGTCCCTATCCAGAGGAAGTCTTGTTACCTCAAATGCTGTGTATTCTTAACCACACTTCTTTTCAACACAAAGCTGTTCTTTTTCTTGGCTCTCTCATTTCTGCTATTTATATGACTGACATCTGTTCTCTCTTGCTGAAAAGTTAGATGTGTTTTGGAACTAGGGTAAGACAAGACACACAGGGGACAAGATTTAAGGAGATGCTGCACTTGCACAACCGTGACAGTGAGTGTCTCCCTAAGGTCTGTGCCCTCGGCACTTCATTACATCACCCCCACCCTGGCCCTGAATCAGACCACTTCTGACTTCAACATACCGCTTGTGTCTGCCTGGCTTCTGTGCTCCAACGGCCCTGTTGGACTGAGAAAGTGATGCCCATGAACATGTTTGTTTGGCATGGCAGGTTAACTGCGATGAAGGGGTCCATCTCTTCTTTCAAGGAGCCTGCTGCAAAGTGCTAGTCTCCTCTAAATGGCCGTGTTACATCCCTAGTAAACAAACATGCAGAAACATAAATGCCACTTCTTTAAGCTGGATTTCCATGTCCCCTACAGATTCCTTGGGCGTGGGTGTGACTGGAGCCTTCGTGGGGTAAAGCCATGGCAGAACCATGCTCAGGCCTGGTTTGGATCACCCTGCAAACATTCCCATTCTCACCCCAGCTGTGTTCCCAATGGAGGCAGAGAATAAGTGAGAGAAAAGTTGCAACTGGGGAGAAGACAATTCCAGACATAGTAGGGTGGTTGAACCAACTGTGTATAACATTCTAAATGACTTGAATCCAGACTGACTACACTAGAAATACACAATACTTCTGTTGGTCTTAAATCCTACTGAATTACAGGAGAATAAAGAGGAAGTATTTAGAAAATGGATATACTTCAAGGAGAGCAATTGAACATTTTTGGGAAGAAATAAAGAGCTATTACTTTATTCCATGTCTTTATCATCTCATATCTAGATATTCTAATGGATATATATCTTTCTGATTGACCTCCTGCACCAATATTTTAAACTTTTTCTATTCATTCTGCATGTGGCATTCCAAAGTGCCACTGGTTCATTTATATTACAAGCACAAAGATAAACAGATAACTTTTTTTTTTTTTTTAACTTTATGAAGTACAAATGCTGGCTGGGCGCGGTGGCTCACACCTGTAATCCTAGCACTTTGGGAGGCCGTGGCGGGTGGATTACCCGAGGCTGGGAGTTCGACACCAGCCTGGTCAACACGGAGAAACTCCTTCTCTACTAAAAATACAAAATTAGCCGGGAGTGGTGGCGCATGCCTGTGATCCCAGCTACTCAGGAGGCTGAGGCTGGAGAATCGCTTGAACCCAGGAGGCAGAAGTTGCAATTAGCCGAGATCACGCCATTGCACTCCAGCCTGGGTGACAGAGTGAGACTCCATCTCAAAGGAAAAAGAAAAAAAAGGAAAGGGGAAAAAAAGGCTTTTCCATATATTTATATTCCATATCATTTTAAATGTTAGACAATTTATGTCACTTTGGATGCACTCTAAGTTTAAACAAAGGAAATTAGGACAAAGATAAAATGAGGATTGATTAGTAAGAAAAAGCTAGAGTGAGTTGGTACCCACAATGACAGGCCATGAAAACTTTTACAGCTGTTGATTTTAGTAGAGCAATTTAGTACTGCGTTCTTGGTAGGCAGAGTGAATAAGGAGCAAGAGTCAGTCATAAGATCCCAACTGGCTACAATTTAAAAACACACCTGTTAATCAAGGAAAGAACCACAATTTTTGGAGACAAGTTCTAGGAGAAATTCTAATCCACGGCATAATGGAAGATGATGCCTTCGCAGTATCTCCATGAGGAACTCACCTGTGAGTCTCACTAGTTGTCTGTAACACTGACTCTTACTTCAAGCCAATGACATCACTTGGTTCTCTGCATGGCTTTGAAGACCCTTCAAGATTAGGCCATCCTCAGCTCCAGAAGACCCCATCCCCTCAGTGAACACTGGGGATCCCACTCTCCTTTCTCCTTTCCAGATAGCTTGTTCATAGCATGTGGAATCTCTGTCATTAGAAGCCACAAATACAGCCACATTTTATGTTTCTACTTGGTTCTTTGTGAGAAACAACCCCACGTGAGACATAAAATGAGCCGTTGATGGTGAAGAAAATCCAAGACTGCAGAGAGAAAAGCCAATATTTAGGCAGAGTCAGATTCTAATTGGTTACTGGTGTCAATATCTCTAATTTATCGATGATTTTTTTTTACATTTTGGGTAGCAAAGAAAATGGAAAGATGAAAACTTGGGCTTGTAGTTATCTTTATCAAAATATTTGAGCAGATTTTCAGGTACCTGATTTGCATAAGTTATAAACACATTCACTTGGCTAAAGTTTTGACAGACCTGAGGATGAGTGGGCAGCCTTTGCTGCCACGGAAAATCTAGAATAAATATTTTGTTTCTGTTTTACTGCTTTTTAAAAGTTGTACATATTGAATGTATTTGTCTTGATGAGTTTAGAATAAGAATATGCCTATGAAACCAACATCACTATCATGGCCATAAATATATCCATCACCTCCCAAAGTTTCCTATTGACTCTTTATTATTGTTACTGTTTCATTTTGTTTGGTGAGAACACTTAACATAAGATCTACCTTCTTAGCAATTTTAATTACACAGTAAGGTGTTCTTAGCCGTAGGCACTATGCTGTATGGCAGATCTCCAGAACTTATTTACCTTGCATAAATGAAACTTCGTACCCCTTAATCATCACCTTCCCATTTACCCCAACCCCTAGCCCCTGATCACCATTATTCTATTCTCTATTTCTACTTGTGTGATTATTTTAGCTTCTACATATAAGTGAGATCATGCAGTATTTCCTTTCTGTGTCTGGCTTATTTCACCTAGCATTATGCCCTGCAGGTCCACTCATTTTGTTGCAACTGGAAGAATTTCCTTCTTTTTTCAGGCTGAATAATATTCCATTGTATGTACTATGAACCCAAAATATCTGAGACAGATCTCAGTCAATTTAGGAAGTTTATTTCACGAAGGTTTAAGGATGCACCGGTGACACAGCCTCAGGAGATCCTGATGACATGTGCCCAAGGTGGTCGGGGCACAGCTTGGATTTATACATTTTAGGGAGACATAAGACATCAATCAACATATGTAATATGTACATTGATTTGGTCCAGTAAGGTGGGACAACTCCACCTTACTTCGACTCCCCCCACCCCCACCAGGTTCCAGGTTTAGAAGAGGCTTCCAGGTTAGAAGAGACATGGGACAAAAAGGTTGCATTCTTTTGAGTCCTTGATACGCCTTCCACTAACTACACAATTTAGTCTGGCTCAGTGAATCTGCTTTGTACATAAACAATAGGGCAGAGGAAGCAATCAGATATGCATTTGTCTCAGGTGAGCCTCAGAGGAATGATTTTGAGTTCTGTCTGTCCTTTGTCCACAAGGAATTTCCTTATGGGCAAAATGTGAGGGAGGTATGTAGCTTTTTATCTTTGTAGGCTATTTTATTTAGGAATCAAAAGGGAGGCAGGTTTGTCTGACATAGTTCCCAGACTGACTTTTCCCTTGGCTTACTAATTTTGGGGTCCCGAGATTAGTTTTTCTTTCACAGTACAAACTGTGATTTCTTTCTCCATTCATCTATTGATGGACATTTAGGGTGTTTATACATCTTAACTGTTGTGGATGATGGTGCAGTGAACGTGGCAGTGTGGATATCTCCTTGAGATCCTGATTCCAGTTCCTCTGAATATATACCCAGAAGTGGCATTGTTAGATGATACGGAAGTTCTATTTCTAATTTTTTTTTTTTTTTTTTGAGACGGAGTCTCGCTCTGTCGACCAGGCTGGAGTGCAGTGGTGCGATCTCGGCTCAATGCGAGCTCCGCCTCCCGGGTTCAAGCCATTCTCCTGCCTCAGCCTCCCGAGTAGCTGGGACTACAGGCACCTGCCACCACGCCCGGCTAATTTTGTTTTTGTATTTTTAGTAGAGACGGGGTTTCACAGTGTTAGCCAGGATGGTCTTGATCTCCTGACCTCGTGATCCGCCCAACTCGGCCTCCCAAAGTGCTGGGATTACAGGCGTGAGCCACCGCGCCCCGCCACTATTTCTAATTTTTAAAGTAACCACCACATTGTTTTCCATAAGAGCTACATCAGTTTACAGTCCCAAAAACAGTGCGCAAGGGTTTCCTTTTCTCCACAGCCTTGCCAAGACTTGTTTTCTTTTCTTAATAATAGCAATCCTAAGAAATGCTGAGGTGATACCTCATTGTGGTTTTGATTTGCATTTTCCTGATGATTAGTGACACTGAGCATTTTTTATATGCTTGTTGGCCATTTGTTTTGTTGTTGTTGTTGGTTTACTTATTTATTTATTTATTTATTTATTTATTTATTTTTGAGACAGAGTCTCGCTCTGTTGCCCAGGCTGGAGTGCAGTGGTGCAATCTCGGCTCGCTGCAAGCTCCACCTCCCGGGTTCACGCCATTCTACTGCCTCAGCCTCCCGAGTAGCTGGGACTGCAGGTGCCCACCACCACGCCCGGCTGCTTGTCTGCCATTTGTATGTCTTTTTGAGAAATGTCTGTTCGTGTCCTTCACCCATTTTTAAAAATTGGCTATTTGTTTTCTTGCATTTCAGTTGCATGAGTCTCTAATATATTTTGGATATTAAACACTTATGTGTTTTGTAAAAGAATGACACTGGACCTTTATAATACACACAAATTAACTCAAAATGGATTAAAGAATTAAATGTAAGACCTGAAACCATAAAATGCCTAGAAAACTGAAGGAGAAAGCTCCTTGACATTTATCTTGACAATGATTTTTTTGGACATGACATCAAAATCACAGACAAGAAAATCAAAAATGAACAAGTGAAATAAAGCTTGTGCATAACAAAGGAAATAATCAACAAAATCAAGAGGCAACCTATGGAATGGGAGATTAGCATAAATATTTTGTATGGACAAAATCTGTTCAAGAAAATCAATAATGAATGCTTTGAACTGTAACAGGTTTAGTACTTTAAGTACCCATGGAAGCAGTTCATTGCATTCTTTTATTATTTTTTATTAGAATTTTCTTTCTTTTGGCCTGGCGCAGTGGCTCACACCTGTAATCCCAGCACTTTGGGAGGCCGAGGTGGGCGGATCACGAGGTCAAGAGATGGAGACCATCCTGGCTGACACAGGAAACCCCATCTCTACTAAAAATACAAAAATTAGCTGGACGTAGTGGTGCACGCCTGTAATCCCAGCTACTCAGGAGGCTGAGGCAGGAGAATCGCTTGAATCCAGGAGGCGGAGGTTGCAGTGAGCCGATCTGGCGTCACTGCACTCCAGCCTGGGCAACAGAGCGAGACTCCATCTTAAAAAAAAAAAAAAAGAATTTTCATTTTTTGCATTTTTTGCGGTGGGTGCGGTGGCTCACGCCTGTAATCCAAGCACTTTGGGAGGCTAAGGCGGGTGGATCACGAGATCAAGAGATCGAGACCTTCCTAGCCAACATGGTGAAACCTCGTCTCTACTAGCAATACAAAAATTAGCCAGGTGTGGTGGCGTGCGCCTGTAGTCCCAGCTACTCAGGAGGCTGAGGCAGGAAAATCGCTTGAACCGGGGAGGCAGAGGTTTCAGTGAGCTGAGATCATGCCACCGCACTCCAGTCTGGTGACAAAGCGAAACTCTGTCTCAAAAAAAGTATATATTTTTTTAAATCTTTTAATTTTTAATTTTTTATTTCACTTTAAGTTCTGGGATACCTATGCAGAATGTTCAGTTTTGTTACATAGGTATACACGTACCATGTACCATGGTGGTTTGCTGCACCTATCAACCAGTCATCTAGGTTTTAAGCCCCACATGCATTAGGTTTTTGTCCTAATGCTTTCCCTCCCTTTTTCCCTTACCCCCGGACAGGCCCTGGTGTGTGATGTTCCCCTCCCTGTGTCCATGTGTTCTCATTGTTCAACTCCCACTTATGAATGAGGACATGCAGTGTTTGGTTTTATGTTCCTGTGTGAGTTTGCTGAGAATGATGGCTTCCAGCTTCATCCATTTCCCTGCAAAGGACATGAACTCATTCTTTTTATGGCTACGTAGTATTCCATGGTGTATATGTGCCACATTTTCTTCATCCAGTCTATCATTGATGGGCATTTGGGTTGGTTCCAAATCTTTGCTTTTGTAAATAGTGCTGCAATAAACATACATGTGTATGTGTCTTTATAGCAGAATGATTTATAATCCTTTGGGTGTATACCCAGTAAAGGGATTGCTGGGTCAAATGGTATTTCTGGATCTAGATCCTCGAGGAATTGCCACACTGTCTTCTACAATGGTTGAACTAATTTACACTCCCACCAACAGTGTAAAAGTGTTCCTATTTCTCCACAGCTTCGCCAGCGTCTGTTGTTTCCTGACTTTTTAATAATCGCCATCCTTTCAAAACTTTAACCTGACAGCATTTAAATGCAATTCAAAAGAAAATAAATTGGCCAGACACGGTGGCTCATGCCTCTAATCCCAGCACTTTGGGAGGCTGAGGCAAGCAAATCATTTGAGGTCAGGAGTTCAAGGCCAGCCTGGCCAACATGGGGAAGCCCCGCCTCTACTAAAAATACAAAAATTAGCCAGGCTTGATAGTGTATGCCTGTAATCCCAGCTACTTGGGAGGCTGAGGCAGGAGAATCGCTTGAACCCAGGAGGCAGAGGTTGCAGTGAGCCAAGATTGCGCCACTACAGAGTACACTCCAGCATAGGAGACAGACCAAGACTCCATCTCAAGAAAAAGAAAAAAAGAAAATCAGTTGACTAAACAGGTAAGAAACAAGAACAAAAATATAAATCTATTCAATATATTTATTTTCTGAACATAATGAGAAAGGTTATAATACTTGTAAAAATTCCTTCACTCATTAGTTATACTTTGCATTGTCTACTTTTATTTTATTTAATTAATTAATTTATTTTTTTGAGATGGAGTCTTGCTCAGTCGCCCAGGCTGGAGTGCAGTGGCATGATCTCGGCTCACTGCAAGCTCCGCCACCCAGATTCATGCCATTCTCCTGCCTCAGCCTCCCGACTAGCTGGGACTACAAGTGTCCGCCACCACGCCTGGCTAATATTTTTTGTATTTTTAGTAGAGATGGGTTTTCACCATATTAGCTAGGATTATCTCGATCTCCTGACCTCATGATCCACCCACCTCAGCCTCCAAAAGTGCCGGGATTACAGGCATGAGCCACCACGCCTGGCCAGATTGTCTACTTTTAGAAAAGTAAGCTGTGAAACACCTAAACTAGGTTATTGCTATGTGACTATATTAACTTCTCTATCCTTCCACCCTTCACTCAAGTACATACATTTTAGAATGGAAAAAAAGGATGAGAGGAAGCTTCATGCATCAGGCATCAGACATCTAACAAAGAGGTTCCTTAAGTTGAACTGTTGTCTTGAACCACATTTGGCCAACTGGAACTGCTGGAAATTGTGAGGGAGATGATGAAGAAGGTTCTGGTCCCTCTTATGTTGGACAGATTGCTGACAGCCATGGCTGAATGGAGGGAGACAGGAGTGGAAAGCCTTTGTTCTAAGAGTTCTAGGTTTTGCATATGAATACATAGCTGAATCGAAGTGAAAGGTAGAGAAGGAATATGTAAATCATTGGACATTTTTGGAAAACAATGTTTTCTTCAATTAGTGCTTTTGTGAATAATAGGATGCATTAGGTGTCAGGAGAGACTTTAAAAAAATTGTGCCAATTTGTGGGTAAGGCTCAGAGCTGAGAACAAGGCATTCCAGTTATTGCTGCCTCTCAGGACACCCAGGTTCCCACAGGCTTGCTGGGACGTCTGAATTCGGGAAAACAAACCCTCTCCCAGACTCTTGTCCCACAGTGGACATCAGAGAAGGACCTAGGGTGGAGGAATGGTCACCTAGTTGGGGAGTGCTATGTTCCTGAAAAGATCCTAGTCTTGTTCACCTCTCTAAAGCCAAAGGATATAGCCCTAAGAGAAAGGATTACTCCTGGAGATTGGGACCCTAAACCCTAAAGTTCGGAATGGGCGAGTCCCTCATTGGGAAGTTGCTAAGCTACACAGTTGGCAGAGAAGATGAGCTGCTGAGGCTGGAGAAAAGGGAAGAAGAGAACATAGAGGGTTGAGAAAGGAGTCTTCAAAGAGCAGCCATTTCTAGCCTGGGGCATGGCAAGGGTCCACGCGTGTCTATGGAGTTAACAGCACCACAGCAGGAGGCTGAGGTTAAGCCATTTTCCTGGCTCCACCATCTTCACAAAAATGCCTACTGAGTAAGGGAATTTCTGCAGAAGGAAGTTTGGTCAGAAGCTGGGGAGAGATGTGATGTCAGTTTGAGAAGGATCTTCCATGCCAATGAACTTTGCAGAAACAAGGCCCTGGGCTCGTAAGATCTTGCAAAGATCCCAAAAAGTCACTCCTTGAAGGAATGATTATTTGTACACCTGCCACACAAAGGGAACCCATGGCCAGTCGAGAAAGGGGACTGCACCCACACCACAGGTAGCCAAGGCAAGGGATAGCTCTGTCCCGCTTCTGCTAGAGAAGGGAAGGATGTGTGAATAGAAAACCTCTCCTTATTTTCAGTGTGGGTGCGTGTGTGGGGGGGGATGCACGTGCACACACACACACACGAGGAGAAAGAGGTCTTTCATTTAAAAATGATTGAACATAAGAGTGCAATTTAAACTGTAATTTCTCCCACCCAAGTCGTGACAATCAAAAATGTCTCCAGACATTGCCAAATGTCCCCTGAGGGGCAAAATTCCTCCAGATTGAGAACCCCTGGTCTAGAGAAAGACCTTATCATTGAGTGGCAGCAACTGTTTTTTTTCTTTCATCTGTTACTTAGACATTCTATGCCACAAAGTGAAAATTAAAGGGAATAAACCTACTGACAAGTCGTGGAACAAACAGATGTTTTCTGGCAGAATCAGGAAAAAAGCCAGTGGTGCATTGAAAATTACTAGAATTTCTCCTCTGTGGGAGAATCTTGGCAGGCAACCTCAGCAGGCATGGGGCTAGATGTGCTTGATTTTTATGCCAAATATTGACTGATTTTCTTAGGTATTGTTCCATGGTATTTTTTCAACTAATGTCCAGACTGAGCAGAAAGGCAGCCTGTCTTTGCACGTCATAAAATGAACTGTAGACATATTTGCAGTTGACATAGAAATAGTGTTAAAATGCGTAGACATTAAGTTTTCAGCCTAGGTTCATGTTTACATGTTCTAAATGCTTTTCTCTCCACTTTCTGACATGGAAATAACCATTTTTTAGGCCTAGATCACACAAAGTCCCTCTGTGGCATGATCCTGTTCCCACTGGAAAGTGCCGTCTATCACTTTTCTGGGCCTACCCAGAGCTCTGCCCTGGCACTCTATGTTTACCTGAACATATATCCATGTCTTCCTATAGATCTATAATCTATAAATTTATAATCTTTGTGCCCAGCAGTTAGCACATTTCCAGACACAGTTAGGTGCCTAATTAGTACTTACTTACTTACTGAATGAATGAATCATCAGCTGAAATGCACGCACATCCATGTTTCAATTATGCCCCACATAGTGGGGCTTCCTTTTCTCACTCTTATATAACAGAGAAATGATATTCAGGTACACTCGTTAAAGCACTGTACAAGAGACTTTCCTGAAGGAGGGATCTATGGAGACGGGTATAGGGTCCATGGCAATGGGATTTCAGAGTGGAGAAGAGAAACTGGGCTGCAAATACAGCATGGGCAAGTGGGAATTTATAACCAAGGGCATGGTGGGGGCCAGTGGGTGGAAAATTATGAAGAGGAAACAGCAGGGCTGGGGGATTCTGGCTAAAGCTACCCCTGGTAGGATTCTTGCTGAAGACAGGCCAGGCTGATGAGGTATCAACCGGGGGATAGCGGAGGATGACAAACCTGATTGGGTATTGCGGTGATCAGATATTGAGGGTGGGGAGTTCTTACTAAACTGACTTAGCAGGGTTCTTGCTAAACTGCACTTTATAAGGAAGTGCACAGATGGGCCTTGGGGAACGTTCAGGGGAATGAAGAAATTTTGGTCCAGCCAAGAATCTGTCACCTAAAAGGAGTGTCTTTTTCAATTGGGATCGGGTGTGTCCGGGGTCTCAGCCTCCTGTCTCCCCAGCTTGTTAGCTGTGGGCTGGTCCACGTTCCTCATTGCTTTGTATTCCATAGGGTGCATGGATTTGGTCTCCACTCTTCCTGCCCCACAATGACCTCATGTTCCTCTTCCCAGAAGGAACACACATTGGCTGGGCCCACCCGGAAATTGAAGCTATACACAGCCCACACTGCTGTTTCTTCCACAGCAGCCGAGCCCCTGCCTCCACCCCCACTTACTTGCCATCAGAGCCTTGCTTTGGCTCATGTGTGCTAAGAGAAGGTGACCCAATTTCCAGCCTAGGAGCAAAGTCACCATGAAGTCATGCTGACCTTATTACCTCTGGTTTAGGGGGAGCCTCTGACCGAATTCTGGCAACGGAGCCATGAGGAATCTGGGAGCCCCTGAGAAAGAGTTCCGCACCGACATAAAAAAGTGAGAGCAGAGGTTCACCGCTCTCCTTCCACTGGTGCTGTCCTGACTGACGTGAGGTCACCTTAGGACCAGCGAGGAGCGAGCCCGAGGGCAGGGTGCGTGCTGGGGATGGCAGTGCCAACAGATGGAGATAGTAGGTTCTGGTAACACCGCAGGCCCTGGAGCGGACCGACCCTAATCTGCTCTCTCTTCCAGATCCTTGCTTGTGAGATTTAACTGTTTAAACCAGGTGAACAGGGTTTTCTGTTAACTTGTAGGTAACTGTACCTTGCACAAAAAGATTGTTTACTGAAACACTCTTGGAACTGTACAAACTCCTCAGTATCAGTAGGTAGGGGTTCAGGGAAGGGCCATGAAGCTGGCATCATGTCCAGATTTAGCTTAACCAAGGAGCAAAACATCCCTGCTTCTGCCTTTGAAAGGAGTGGTCCGTTGTTTCTTTGCTGTTTTTACACTTAAAAAAACTCTGATCAGTAGTTCTTCCTGTTGCTCAATATGTACCCATGAGGGCAGGTGGTTGGGGGCAGAGGCAGGGCGAATGGAACTATAGCCAAAAAGGAGAGCAACACTGAAAATCTGTTGCTGAAGTCACAACTTCCTCTCAAGGCTGGAGACCTCAGGGCTCAGCTCTTGGCTGATTCGCTGTCCTCTCTCACAGCCTTAAATCCCAGCCAGAGTCTGATGTCTCTGCAGGATTTCCCTCCCACCACCTCTCCTGTGAGCTCCTGGTGACACAGTCCTCAGCCCTCTCCATACATCCACTCGGATGTCTCAATGTCATGTCCAGCTTAACGTGTTCAAACATGAACTCCTGGTTTTCACTTCCCAAATCTCCTTCCCTTTAAGCATTTCCAGTCTAAGAGGCAGCAAGTCATCCACCACCCATTCAGGCCAAATGTCACAGTTGTCCTCAGTTCTTCCGGTTCTCTCAAATTTACATGCAGTTGATCATAAAATCTGTAGAGTCTGACTTCACTCTCCTTCTGAAGTCTTACCCCATTTCACCTCTACCCTCACCCTGGATCAAGCGACCATCTCCTTCTGCCTGGGCTGCCAACATGGCCCCCACCTGGTATCCTTGCCTTGGCCTTTGCCCACCTTCAGCCTATTTTTCTGCAGCTGCCCAATTTATCTTCTCAACTCATAATTCACATTAAAGTCCTCCAGCATATTTGTATCACACTTAGAACAAAATATAAAGGCCTTTCCTTACTATGCTACTCTGTGATGTATTCTAAATGTTACATTGCATTGAACTAATGAGCCTGAAAAAAGTATTGTGAGCAGATATATAAGCATTCCTGGATTGGCCATGGGGATATCAATTCATATGGATACATGGTGCAAATCCTTAGAGTAACTGATGTGTCTAAAGAAATAATAATGTAATGATCCACATTCCAGTCACTAATATTTGAACCCTCCAAACCTCATGTTGAAATTTGATCCCAGTGTTGGAAGTGGGGCCTAATGGGAGGTGTTTGGGTCATGGGGTCGGATCCCTCATGGATGTCTTGGTGCTGGGGAGTGGGGGTAATGAGTGAGTTCTCGCTCTGTTATCTCCTGCAAGAGCTGGTTGTTAAGAAGAACCTGGCACCTCCCCTCTCTCTTGCCTCCTCTCTCACCATGTGATCTGTGCACACTCCACCCCACCTTCCCGCATGAGTGGAAGCAGCTTGAGGCCCTCTCCAGGTGTACATGTCAGTGCCACGCTTCTGGTACAGCCTGCAGAGCCCTGAGTCAAATACACGTCTTTTCTTTATAAGTTTCCCAGCTTCAGATATTCCTTTATAGCAATGCAAAAATGGACTGAGGCACCGAGTGACTCAGAGCACCCTTTTATCAGCTACTCTATTGATTCCATCAGGAACTAAGACCTGTTATGGTCTTACATCACTGCAGTGAGCCTTGCCCCATCACTTGTGTGTATTACCTAAACACTAAAAGCTGCTAAGTGACAACTTTGTGGGCAAATGTAATATCAATTCCATCAGAGTTACTGGAAATACATTTTGTGTTCAAGCTTTTCCAATCACTAAACATTTTCTGTGATAGTTGTCCATGTGGCAATAAACTGCTGCTCATCCAATCTGGGAATGTGATGCATGACTAAAGTCTAATAAAGTTTTGGAAAAGATTCACACATTTCTGAATTTCATAAAGGTCTAATTATTTTGCCATTTCTCTCATCCTAAATATAATTGAAATGCAATGAGTGAGAGCCCACAGGGATTCTCTTAGTGTCCAGATGGGCATTTCTGCTTTTCCTCATGATGGGCTGGACTATTGAAAATTAATTGGTATTTTCAGCTGTGCCAGGTTGTCAGCCAGCTCACAAGTGTAACTGATGACTTAGTACTCGCAAACCATTTATCCTTAAACAGTAATTCCATACTAATAATTTGTTCCAACTCATTTATATCTCAATTCTTAAGCTAGAAAAAATCTCACGTAAAATGTAAAAAGTTGACTGACTAACTTCTTAGTCATCTTTGAATAAACAAATCAGGAATGTTGCTGGCCTATATGAAGTACTCCCTGTATTTAGAAAAGTTTCTGGAGTGGCTGGGCGCGGTGGCTCACGCCTATAATCCCAGCAATTTGGGAGCCTGAGGCGGGCAGATCACGAGGTCAAGAGATCGAGACCATCCTGGCCAACACGGTGAAACATTGTCTCTACTAAAAAAAATACAAAAGTTAGCTGGGCATGGTGGCACATGCCTGTAGTTCCAACTACTTGGGAGGCTGAGGCAGGAGAATTGCTTGAACCTGGGAGGCAGAGGTTGCAGTGAGCCAAGATTGCGTCACTGCGCTCCAGCCTGGGCGACAGAGCAAGACTTCATCTCAAAAAAATAAAAATAAAAATAAAAATAAGTGTTTCTGGAGCATAGAAAATGGCATTTACATACTAAAATGTAATTTCTACAAATCCAAAATATTTTAAGTCATATTTTAATTTGTTTACATAGCTTTAGAGGTTAATATAGAAAAAATATATACCTAGACATTTTTGAAAAATAAAATTTTATTGTTGAGAATAATTTTTATTTGAACTAAATGCTTTGAAATGCTCAAAAGCTTTTGTGTGTTATGGTGGTTATGGTATGTGTGTATGTGTATATCTAAATTGTATAAAGGAGTGTGAGGAGTGTGAGTCAGTCAACTAACACAAAGTATTTTTTCTTGTTTTTGATATCAAAGCTATAATAATTCAGTAATAAATATCACGACTGTATGTCAATCCTCTAAAATTTGTTTTATTTGGGAAACAGTGAACATGTGTAGGAAATACGATTTTTGTATTACATGTTCTCACTCAGGTGGATGCTAAAGAGGTTCTCACTCATGTGGATGCTAAAGATGCTCACGGAGGTAGAGAGTAGAATGATAGATACGAGAGGCTGGGAAGGGCATGTGGGTCAGGGGGATGGGATAATGAGGGGAGGTTGGTCAATGGGTATCACCATACAGTTAGAAGGAATACATTCTAGGGTTCAATCACAGAAATATTAGTAGGGTGACTATAGTTAATAATGATGTATTGTATATTTCAAAAACAGCTAGAAGAAAGGACTTGAAATGTTTCCAACACATGGAAATGATAAAAGGTGGTGGACACCCCAAATACCCTGACTTCATTACTACACATTCCATGCATGCAATGAAAT